>NC_000015.10:91744308-91895823 GCF_000001405.40 Homo sapiens
CCTATGAATGCTAAACCTATGTATCCAGTTGCCTATTTAGCATATCCACCATGATCACTCACTGGCAATTCAAACTCAGTATATTTAAATCAGAACTCAAGGACCCTGCTCCATACCCAGTCCTCTTTCTGTTTCCTATGTCAGTGAGTGACACTCCTATCTATGCCATTGCATTATCTAGAAACCTGGTTTAACACCTCCCTATCCAACATACCACATATATCCAATACTTTATCAAGGCCTATTGCTTCTCCTTACAAAATATCTTTCAAATCTTTCCACACTGCTCCATACTCATGGACACTCCACTGGGTGAAGTCTTCGTCTCTCACCTGGATCACTGCAATAGGCTTGAATTGTTTTTGGGTTTTTTTGTTTTTTTGTTTGTTTGTTTTTGTATCCACAGAAGACTGCCTTCCTGCTGTCATCTTCTCTCTAGCCAAATTTATCATTTTGAAAACACTAATTCGACTCTACGTTTTTCAAACCTTAAATCTTTCAATAGTTTCTCTATTGATTTTTAAAATAAAATGTAAAAATCACCAAAATTACAGGACCCTGAGCAATATAACCTCTTTCTTTCTCATCACCCTTATCCTCCCCTTCCCCTTGAGTTTGGTAGCCTTATGCTATAGGGGAGGAAACCCCACAGATTCAGAATTTGAAAACAAGGCTTTGCCTTTCATAAGAAAGGTAGGAAGAAAGAAGACTTCTCACTAGCCATGGGCCGAGGACCACTTCAAGCCCAATTCTTAACACATCCACCTGACAGGCTTTATTTTAGATCTGAGCGCAACAAATCCTGTTTCCAAGAATTGCCCTGTATCCAGCAAAGGGAGAGAAGGCCTCAGGATGCTCAGGTAGAGAAGAAGGGGCACTGCGTTGCTCACCAGAGAAGAAAAAGTAAGCCTTGTCATAAGCTATCAAACTTCAAAAGGGTATTTATGTAGAGGCACTGACAACATTTGTTTGAAGGAACTATTTGTCCTATAAAGTGTCTAGAATCCATAAGAGAGTGTAATATTTCCCCCATATTTATCCAGGAAAGTAAAATAGTGAAACTGTACAAGGGAGACACAGTATTTGCCCAGGGCAACAAAACATTAAGGATCTCTTTGGCTGATATTCTGATATGCTGAGCCAAGAACATCTGTTGATCGCAGAGAGGCTGATTTCCTCTTCTACAACCACAGTAACTTTCATTAAGTACCACAAGGGAGAAAGTGTCTTTCTGGTTAGGTCCATTTTATGCACTGTCTGTTCTATTGGAAACACTTTTTTCTTTCTTCTCTCATCCCTTCTCCAGGCTAACTCCTACTCTTCATGGAGATCTCAGTGAAACATAACAGCTTCTTGGATAGCTTCCCTGATTAACTGATCATCAGCTATTAACTGATTAACCACTTCCTTGATTAGCTGCTTGAGAACTCTGTCTTGGACCCACTTACCAGCAATGTGATTCAATAATTAAATGACTAATACATGTTAGAATATGCCTATCAGGTTCTTCATTGTAGGCCCCTTTCTCAGCACAGGATCTTACACATTAAAAAAAATTTGCTGAAAGATATGTTAATTCATTTGTATTATTTAATATTTGTTCATCTATCCTATCAAACTGTAACTCCCTTGACCAGGACTTTGTCATATTTCTCTTTGTAGAACAGGAGATTTATGATTTAATATGGTTCTTTGTCCACAGTATGCATTCAGTCAGTGTTTTATACATACCAAAATAAAAAGGAAAGCCCTTCTTTATCGATGTCCCTGTGTGATACAGTAGCAGCTTAAATCTTGGCTTCAGATACCTTTACATTATTAAAATTGATTTATGACTTCAGAGAGCTGTTGTTTACATAGGTTATATCTATCAATATTTTTTCATCTGAGTTAAAACTGTGAAAGGCTAAAATATATCTACTTAGCAATTTATTAAGGTAATAACAAACCCATTACATGTTAGCAAAATCACCATGCATTTGTATGCAAATACCATGCATTTTTGTATAAAAATACATGCATTTGTATGAAAATATCATGCTTTTGTATAAAGGTACATGCATTTGCATGAAAATACCATGCATTTGTATAAAAATACATGCATTTGTATACAAATACAATGAAAATACAAATGCATGGTATTTTTGTTGACATGCAGTGGGTTTGTTGTTACCTTAATAAATGGAGATATATTTATTACCTTAATGTACTTGGCAATGAATTTTGGAAATACATTTCCAAAATTAAAGCCTTTTTAGTTAGAAAAATGGCATTGTTTTGTGTTTTTAAAAAATATCTTTAATGTCTAAAGATGATAACTAGATTCTAAAACGTGATTCTGCTTTCAACCTGCTGCAAGCTGTTGGTTTGTTTGAAGTATATAAAGAAAACTGTCATTATACAATTATGTAGTTGGAAAATAAAGAGATTTTAATAACCTTTTTTAATAATTATGGATATTGGCCGGGTGCGGTGGCTCATGCCTGTAATCCCAGCACTTTGGGAGGCTGAGGCAGGTGGATCACGAGGTCAGGAGATCAAGACCATCCTGGCTAACATGGTGAAACCCCGTCTCTACTAAAAAACAAAAAATTAGCCGGGCGTGGTGGCAGGCACCTGTAGTCCCAGCTACTTAGGAGACTGAGGCAGGAGAATGGCATGAACCCGGGAGGCGGAGCTTGCAGTGAGCCAAGATTGTGCCACTGCACTCCAGCCTGGACTACAGAGTGAGACTCCGTCTCAAAAAAAATAATTATGGATATCCTCCTTTACTAGTACACCAAAATTCAACAAGTGGTAATTTCTTAAAGATGAGCTGAAATACCAAATTGAAACATTATCAGTGAACTTCTTTCATACATGGTTACATTAAAATCTGTCAGTTCACTTTGCACTCTGAACAGACATTTAACTCATGCATGCTTTTGTAATGTCATGCAGTGATCACTTAGAAAATATTAATTCACTGAGTTATACAGATCTTCTAAATGTCATATTTCATTATACAATATAAAAATTACATTTATTAATACCACCACCAATCTCATTAGAAAAGCAATTATTGGGAAGCTGCCAAGCTTGCAGTGGCAAATACAAATTTTCCAAAAGTCTAACTTTCACTTGAAATGTTAAATTTTATCATTGGCAACAAAAATTGTCAGTTGTTAGCGATAGACCCACTTTATATATTTTTAAGAAAATGTCTTTAGAATATCCAAATCTGCATAACTAGAATTGGTCTATTAGTCATTGTTCCAGATAAAAATAGTGTTTCCTTAAAATACTAAAATGCTGATATTTCAGCTTGCAATTCAGACAACTACACAAGTGCTTTTCCTCTGGAAAACCGTGGTGCTTCAGTGTGTAGCAGAAGTGCTTTAGGCACTTGACTTTTATCTTGGAGTATTCATGAAATACCAGAGCTCGAGGGGCATTCACTGGAAATCAATATTCTATCCTCAGCCTCTTTTAACTCTGAGGGAAAACTTACGCTTTCCAGTACCTCTGACTTCCAAACATCCCATTCGACATACAGAAATTATACTTCCAAGCCTGCCAGTTTTATTGTCAACACTAATATCCTTAAGGGCTTAGGCAAGAGAATACAGATACCAGCCAGGGAAAAACAAAACAAAATCCATTCAAAGTCCAGGCCCTTTCGCTGGTGGGTGGGGCGATTGTTTCCATATTAATCAAAAGCACGTAGAATTAGGAGAAAGAAAGATAAAAGACAACTTCCAGGGCTGTGGCTGGGGATCAGGGAGGATGATGCTATTATAGCGGAAGGAGAAATCACAAAGCAGCAACTCACGAAGGAGGTTTGATGAGTGCACTGAAACTGGGGATCATTTCTTCCTGTTTAGTTTCTTAACTAAACACAAAGATTTCCCAAAACTCACCTACCTCATTGATGCGGTGGTTTAGCCAAGGAGTGTAAAACCATTGTCACCAGGGAGTAAGGAAGTAGTTCAGGAAGTTCACAATGGAGCCACCACCAGGAGACAAGAGACCCCACCTCCAGAAGATTGGGGTACCTCCTACTCACTCTCCCTCCGTTGGTTCCCCTCTTGAGATCAGGATTTGGAGAGATTACAGACCATTTTGGAAATTTTTTATTCACTATGTATTTTCTATTTATTAAATAATTAAGAATATCTTTAAGAGGATAAACCATGAGAAGGAGGAATATCTTTGTCATGAGAATCTCATGAAAAACGCTGTTGAAATGAGGATTCTTCAAAGAAGAACACTTCCATTACTTTATTTTCAATGAATAAGAGTAGAATGCAACTGCAGCTTTGCATCCTTAGGGAAGCTACTTAACCTTCCTGAGCCTCTGTTTCCTCACTTGTAAAATAAAGATAATAATAGTATTTACCTCCAAAGATTATTGTGAAGATTAAATAAAATATTACACATGCAGTATTTGACACTCTGTTTGACACAAGTAATACATCACAAATAGTGGCAGAAGTGGTAGTGGTGGTGGCAGTGGCAGCAGCAGAGGTTGTAGTAGTCATGGTGGAGACTGATAGTCGTATAAGCAATGGTGGTTGTGGTGGTGGCTGTGGCAGCAGGAATGGCGGCAATAATGCCAGTGGTTGTGGTGGTGGTGGCAGCAGAGATGGTAGGGTGGTAGCAAGTACAGGGTGGCAGTGGAGATTTTAGTCCTGGGGGAGGGGTGGTGTGGCAATGGTGGTTGTGGTGGCAATAATGTCAGCAGTGATGGTGGTGACAGTTGCTGTGGTGGTGGTGGACTTGGTGGTACTGGAAGTGGAAATGGTGATGGTGGTGGTGGTGATGGAATTGATGGAGATGGATGTGATGAAGATGAAGGTGGAGGTGGAAGTGGAGGTGGAGGTGGTGGAGATGGAGATGGAGATGGAGGTGTTGGAAATGGAGATGGAGGTGGAGGTGGTGGAGATGGAGATGGAGATGCAGGTGTTGGAAATGGAGATGGAGGTGGAGGTGGAGGTGGTAGAGGTGGAGGTGGAGGTGGAGGTGGTAGAGGTGGAGGTGGTGGTGGAGGTGGTAGAGGTGGTGGTGGAGGTGGAGGTGGTGGTGGGAGCAGTGGAGGTGGAGATGGAGGTGGAGGTGGTGGAGATGGAGATGGAGATGGAGGTGTTGGAGATGGAGGTGGAGGTGGAGGTGGTGGAGGTGGAGGTGGTGGTGGTGGAGGTGGTAGAGGTAGTGGTGGAGATGGAGGTGGTGGTGGGGGCGGTGGAGGTGGAGGTGGAGGTGGTGGTGGTGGAGGTGGTAGAGGTAGTGGTAGAGATGGAGGTGGTGGTGGGGGCAGTGGAGGTGGAGATGGAGGTGGAGGTGGTGGAGATGGAGATGGAGATGGAGGTGTTGGAGATGGAGATGGAGGTGGAGGTGGAGGTGGTAGAGGTGGAGGTGGAGGTGGTAGAGGTGCAGGTGGTGGTGGAGGTGGTAGAGGTGGTGGTGGAGATGGAGGTGGTGGTGGGAGCAGTGGAGGTGGAGGTGGAGATGGAGGTGGAGGTGGTAGAGGTGGAGGTGGTGGAGGTGGAGGTGGAGATGGAGATGGAGGTGGAGGTGGTAGAGGTGGAGGTGGTAGAGGTGGAGGTGGAGGTGGTAGAGGTGGAGGTGGTGGTGGAGGTGGTAGAGGTGGTGGTGGAGATGGAGGTGGAGGTGGTGGAGGTGGAGATGGAGGTGGAGGTGAAGGTGGAGGTGGTGGAGATGGAGATGGAGGTGGAGGTGGTGGAGATGGAGATGGAGGTGGAGGTGGTGGAGATGGAGATGGAGGTGGAGGTGGTGGTGATGAAGGTGGAGGTGGAGATGGAGGTGGTGGTGGAGATGGTGGTGGTGGAGATGGAGATGAAGGTAGTAGCGGTGGTGGTGGTGATAATGGTGGTGGTGGAATTGGAGGAAGAGGTGGTAGTGGTGTTGGAATTGAAGGTGTTACGGTTGGTGGGGGTGGGGGTGAGGGTGGTGGAGGTGGAGGTGGTTGGAATTGAAGGTGGAGATGGTGGAGGTAACAATGGAGGTGGTGATGGCAGTGGCAGTAGAGATGATGGTGGTGGAGGTGCTGGCGATGGTGCTGGCAGTGATGGTGGTGGAGGGGTGGTGATGGTGGTGATGGTGGAAGTGATAGTGGAGGTGAAGTTGGTGGTGGTGGATGTGGAGGTGGTGGAGATGGTGCTGGTCATGGTGACAGTGGCATTGGTGGTAGTGCTGGAGACAATGGCAGTAGAGGGGTGGTGATGGTAGAGGCAGTGATGGTGTTGGTGGTGGTGATGGTGGTGAAGACAGTAGTGGTAGTAGTGGTAGCAGTGATGGTGGTGGAGACAGTAGTGGTGGAGGTGGTGGTGGTGGTGGTGGTGGTCGTGGTGGTGGTGGTGGTGGTGGTGGTGGTGGTGGTGGTGGTCATAGTAGTGGTGGTGGTGGTGGTGGTAGTGATGGTGGTGGTCATAGTAGTGGTGGTGGTGGTGGTGGTAGTGATGGTGGTGGTCATAGTGGTGGTGGTGGTGGTGGTGGTAGTGATGGTGGTGGTCATAGTAGTGGTGGTGGTGGTGGTGGTAGGGATGGTGGTGGACATAGTAGTGGTGGAGGTGGAGGTGGTAGGGATGGTGGTGGACATAGTAGTGGTGGAGGTGGAGGTGGTAGTGATGGTGGTGGTCATAGTAGTGGTGGAGGTGGTGGTGGTAGGGATGGTGGTGGACATAGTAGTGGTGGAGGTGGTGGTGGTAGGGATGGTGGTGGACATAGTAGTGGTGGAGGTGGTGGTGGTAGGGATGGTGGTGGTGGGAGCAGTGATGGTGGTGGTAGTAGTTCTGGTAGTGCTGGCGATGGAAATGCAGGCTGTGGTGATGCTGTTGGCAACTGTGATGGTGATGGCGGTGCTGGTGGCTGCTGTGGCAGTGGTGGCAGTAATATGGTGTAGTGGTTGTGGCTACACTGTGTTTAATTATTAAAGCCAGTTGGTTATCGCAGAGGGAGTACAATCCTGACTCACTTGGTCATCGGAGTAAGATCAAGTCTTTTCGATGGCATTGGTAAGAGGAGCTGGAAACCATCTCCTCCTGTAGGACTCACAGGGTTCTAGCTCCACCACTTAGACTATATGCCCTCAGCTCTGGATGCTTCCTGTAGCTGTAGAAAGTCCAGGAAGGCAACTAAAATAAATGATGATGAGACCTGTTCACGGAACGAGCTTAATTCAAAAGAGGGGTAGAAGAATTGATTTAATTATTTTCCCCTTTGTCCCTTCGAACCCAACTTTTTTTTCTCATTGTGGGATAAAATATTTTATCAGACATGCCCTTACTAATTCTTAATCATTTTTGGTTAATAAACAAATAATATCTTTGTTTTGGCATCAAAACGTAGAGTCCAATCTAATAATTACATAATTCCAGTGAGACAAAGTGCAATTATCAAAACACTGCGAATTCCTCACCCACCTCAAGCTGGCTTCAGGCTGGGTGCCTGGTTTCTGCTGTTCCTGGAATGCTGTTTCTAAATGTTCCTGGCAGGGCCAAGATGGGATGGAACAGGGGAAGAGGAAATAAGTCTTACATGCTGGTACTGTTGGCATCTGGCTTTGGTCTGTCTTGGATGGAAGGTGGAAGGCACACATTTACTGAGTTTTGCTGTCACAGGCACTTTTGAAGAGTCCTTGCCAACTTACTACACACACACACACACACAACTCATGCACACACACCATACTCATCCATACACACACTCACTCACACACTCATGCATATGCACACTCACATGTACACTCATGCACACACACACACAACAAAGCCTCTCTCCTGAGAACAAAGCCCCTCTCCTCAGCCTCTCGGTTTCTAGTGGCCCACCCCTCTCCTGGGATCACATTGTCTCTCCAGGACATCTTCTTTGGTCCCTTTCACCAAGTCCACATCTGGCCCCCGGAGAACAATCACCCTTGTTCTTGATAATCTGATAAGGGTGGCATCAGTCACAGCTGCTTCCTTTTGAATTCTGTTGGCTATAGTAAGACACATTTCTATGTTCCCCAAATGCCAGTGGGCACATGCCAGACTCCCCAGGTGGCCCCTCAAAGCCCTCTCAGTTGACTTGCAGTGAGCCATAAGTTCCCACCCACACTCACACAGGGGACAGGGGTTGGAGTACAGCACCCTGAAAATGCATCCAAAGAAACCCTCTTTCTATCAGCCTCTCCTGCCTTCCTTAAGCCTGGAAGCAGATGAAGGGCTAATGCTTGCAGAACTGGTTTTCCAATCTCTCAGCATGCCCTGCTAAGGACGCGGTGGAACTTGCCACCTACTGTCCTCTTCTAAGGCTTTGAGGCCTTGCTGAAAGCCGCAGACAGAGTGACATTTTCACATTCTCTTACAATAGGGTTGCAGTGCTGGCAAATAAGAACAGAACAAAAAATGATGAGCACGCTTGATCTAGGAAAACAAACACAAAGAGAAAACAGTAATAATGAGAAAATACCCCGCGTTTGTTGAGCAAAGCTTTTACATGTATTGTTATATAATTTTCAAGGACTGGGAAATGGATATGGAGATCACAGTAATAACCTAGCATTTAGATAACGTGGCAGAGTTTACAAAGAGCTGTCTCCCATATCGACTCATTTGACTCTCATAAGAAGCTGGCTGGGTTCGTGCTATTCATCTCATTTTACAGAGGAAGAATTAGGGTCAGGAGTGGCAAAGGGGGCTAATCTCACAAGCCAACCCATATTAATTGAGCCCTCCTGCCAATCACAGTGCTATTCAAAGTATAGTCCAAGAGTAGAAAATGAAAATAAATATTTTAAAGCTCTTTTTTTTTTTTTTGAAGTGTAGTCTCGCTCTTTCACCCAGGCTGGAGTGCAGTGGCGCAATCTCGGTTCACTGCAACCTCCGCCTCCTGGGTTCAAGTGATTCTCCTGCCTCAGCCTCCTGAGTAGCTGGGACAACAGGCTGGTCTCGAACTCCTGACCTCAAATGATCTGCCCGCCTCAGTCTCCCAAAGTGCTGGGGTTACAGGTGTGAGCCACTGCACCCAGGTGAAACTCTTTTTTTTTTTTTTTTTTGAGACGGAGTGCAGGGGCGCAATCTCGGCTCGCTGCAATCTCCGCTCCCAGGTTCAAGCAATTCCCCTGCCTCAGCCTCCCAAGTAGCTGGGACTACAGGCACGGACCACCATGCCTGGCTAATTTTTTTAAAAAATCTTTTGTAGACATGGGGGTCTTGCTTTCTTTCCCAGACTGTTCTCAAACTCCTAGCATCAAGCAATCCTCCTGCCTTGGCCTCCCGAAGCGCTGCTAGGATTACAGGTATAAGCTACTGCACCCCACCTAAAAACTCTAAAAGGAATTTAATGTTGCCATGACATCCAAGCATGTGATCGGTAGACTCATTTCACTGAGCAGGGTATGGACCAGTTTACCTGTTGTCAAACTCATATGGTGAGTCTCACACAGCTTGAGCTCTTTTTTAGTCATGTATAGTAGGACTGTATTCTAGTCGGCAACAGATTAGAAATTTAAAAAGAGAAAAAACAGGCCCTTCATGACAGATAATTTAAGAAACATTTCCCTAGACAAAGCATCACATTTAAAAGGATTTGAAGCCCAGGAAACAGTGTTGTGGTTGATTAGTGATGTCTGTCCTGAGCAATGGGGTGGGAGGCAGTGACATGTGCATCACCCTGTGCCTATCAGCTAGGTCATGGTGTCCTACCCTAGTAGAACAACCTCACATCTTGGAAAGAGACATATGTGGGGGAAACGCTAATAAACCTGATTACAGAAACAGCTATATTCGAAATGCTTTACAAATTTCTTTGGATACACTTGCATGTACTATCTCATTTGAAACTTGGAACAATCCTGAAAAGAAGATGAAGAAGGGATTATTAGTCCCATGTTGCAGAGAGGAAGACTGTGAGTCAGATCATTTAAGTTCCTGTCCGTAATCACAGAGGTAAGCAGTGGCAAGTGCTGGGCCCAGAACCAACACTTGGTTGTCAGCTGCTTAGTCCAAGTATCCTCTCTCCCTATCTAGCTGCCTCCCTGTTGAGGATGAAATAAAGTGATATATGTGAAAACTCCAAGTAAAAATGAGAATGTCATACGATATCAGTTTTATTACAGAGCAGCTTAGATAATTTCATGGATGACATCCCTACATGGTTTTTAGATTGACATTCCAGAGGACAATCTAGCCTTCCTGATACTAAAAGAGCAATTGCCCCTTTCAAACAAATCTCTGTGCTAGAAAGACACGTAAGTCCAGGATGGCAATTTTTCTCTTCATTTGCTATCCTAGTTCCAGATGAAACTACTGAGTGTTATTATAAATAGAGTGGTAAAAATGTCCTGTCCAGCAAGCACCTATTGAGCACTTGCAGTGTGCCAGAGAAAGGCTACACTGCACTAGGCACAAGAAACACAGACATGAATGGGACCAACAGATGCATAGACTCTGAGTCCCTTAGGTGGCCCGTGTTCTCAATTAATATGGGTTGACTTGTGAGATTAGCCCCCTTTGCCACTCCTGACCCTGGTTCTTCCTCTGTAAAATGAGATGAATAGTACCAACCTAGCCGACTTCTTATGAGAGTCAAATGAGTCGATATGGGAGAAAGCTCTTTGTAAACTGCCACATTAACTGCTCTTGCAATTAACTGTTCTATGTGTGGTAATAAAAAATAGATAAGAGGTCCAGAATTGCTTTCAAGGGGGACTGATTTACTCATGGGTGGAGACGGTAAGCTAAGCAGAGAGGAAAAAGAATTTACAAAGGAGAAGAGCCTGCTCACGGCACATTTGGAAGGGTGAACGAGGAGACGATCGGAGAAAGGGCATTCACATAAAAGGAATAGTACGTGCAAAGGCTCAGAGGCTTTAAACCATCTCATGGGTTTGGGGAATATAGATGGTCCTACATACTGTCTGCAGGTAAGAGGGAAAAAAATCAAGATTGACCTTCACTATGCATTTCTTTTAAAGAAAGGTATCTATTGTTCACATAAATTGCAAACATTTCCCCTACTGAAACTATCCTACTACTTAATCTATGTCTTATTTCATCTTTGATAATATAAGGATGCTAACAGAACTTACAGCACTAGGCTGTTTTGTTAACCACGCAGAGTGCTTAGAACTGTGTTAGTCCATAGTAAATGCTCAGTAAGTGTTTTATTGTTGATGATCGTGGTAGTGGTGGTGATGATGATGGTGAAGTTCATGATTTCTACTTTATTTGACTCCTCACCTCAACTGCCACATCTGAGCTTCACACCAAATATAGAATGAATGTGAAATAATTTGTTTATGCTATGACAGTTTGGCTTATTGCTTTTCTCACATAGATTCCTTTAAAGACTGTTATGCTTGGCATCTTTTGGGCTTTGGTGAAAAGAGGCACATCTGAGATGCCTAGAGCTCACAGCAAGGAGAACAGGCTCCCTTGCATAGGCACTGGTGCCCTAGATCAGGTTTAAGCAAACCAAAATCCCTGGGACAAATCAACCCCCTGTTTGTTTTTGTAAATAATATTTAGTGGAACTCGGTCCTTTTTATTCACCGATCATTGTCTTTGCTTGCTTTTATGCTACAATGGCAGAGTTGAGCTGTGGCAAAGATCTTATGGCTGACAAAATCTAAAATATTTACTCTCTGGACTTTGGTTGAAAAAAATTAGCCAACTCTTGCCCTCAATGATGCCCAGACTCCTGCTACTCATCACTGGCTGCACCAGCCATTCCAAAGCTGGTCAAAGTTAGGACAGGGGTTGGTGCACTGTTGGTTAGAGCACATTGGTGTCCTGATCTAATTGTCTTCTCCCAGAAACCTCACGGCAGTGCCAACCACTTCCTGAAAATATGGCCAGTCCTCATGATTCACAGATTCTGTATTTGAAAATTCACCTACTTGCTGAAATCTACGTGTAACCTCAAAATCAACACGCGCAGCACTGTCTTGGCCATTCATGGACATGTGCAAAGCTGTGAAAAATTTGAGTCACCCAACGCTCACGTGTTCCCAGCTAAAGTTGGACAAGCGGACCCTCTGCCTTCTTGTTTTACTCTCATAATGTAAAACGAGTATCCTTTTTGCAGTCTGTTCAGGGCCATGTTTTTCTCACTTTTGTGCTTTTCGTCCATGGTTTTGCTGTATAAAACGGTCCCCAAGCCCAGTGCTGAAGTGCTGTCTAGCGGCTACGTGCAGGGCGGCTATGATGCACCTTATGTGTCTTAGATAAGCTTCCTTCAGTCACACGTGACAGTGCTGTTGACCCTGAGTTCAATGTTAATGAGTCAACAATATATATTAAATGAGGTGTCTTTAAACTGAAACACACATACGGCAAGGCTATGTATTGATTGACAGATGACAATGTGACTGGAGGCTTGCAGTAGCCCTAACCCTGTGTTTTGGTCTTGGTTAATTTAGTGTTTGAGGTGAATTTATACAACATAACTACAGCAAATAATGAGAATTGACTGTGAAGAAAAAAAATGGCTCAGGATGGCCCAAGGTGTATAACCACATTGGCAGAGCACTGTGCACAGGGACCTGAGACCTTCCTTAGCAATAAAAGGAGCTCTTTTGTGTCACATTCTGATGAGCGAGAAGAGGTCTCTTGCTCTCTCACCTGCTGACTCCAGGAAGACCGGAGATATTCCACAGTGGTTTGGGCACAGGAAGTCTCCATAACTCATAAAATAAAGGTTTCTGGGAACTGACTCTGGGGCTTAGGGATATGGTACATGAGCTCTCCTTTCCAGAAAGTTGCTTATGTAGGATTCCAAATGGCTTAAATTCTGATTTCCCTCCTCTCTCCCTCTTCCCTCCTCCCCCAACCCCTGCCTTTTTTTTTTAGACTGAGTTTCACTCTTGTTGCCCAGGCTGGAGTGCAGTGATGCGATCTTGGCTCACTGCAACCTCTGCCTCCCAGGTTCAAGTGATTCTCCTGCCTCAGCCTCCCAAGTAGTTGGGATTACAGGCATGTGCCACCATGCCTGGCTAATTTTGTATTTTTTTAGTAGAGATGGGGTTTCTCCATGTTGGTCAGGCTGGTCTCAAACTCCTGACCTCAGGTGATCTGCCCACCTCGGCCTCCCAAAGTGCCGGGATTACAGGCGTGAGCCACCACCCCCACCCCCCAACCTGCCACTTCTTTTTTCTGGAACTCTGGTATAGCTTCTGAAAAACACTTCATTCCTGACTGGCCAGACCTCCCTGTGTCTTTTCTTCTTCCAAGTACACAGAGGTGCTAAAAGTCCCCCCAAATTACTGCTTTGTGCTCATCCTGGCCGATGATGGCACCCGTCTCTGCAGCCATTCCTGGGCACTGCCTACCCCAGAGGGATGCAATCCTGTGTTTGCACAGTTACAAGAGCAAGTTGCCCCTCTTGTCCCTGTGGGGTGGTGTCTTGAACTGAGTAGGAGGGACATGCTGAAGGGCATACAATGAGCTGAAGTGCCTGGTGGTGATGGTGCTAACATCCCTGGGGAGCATCTAACTCAGGGCGTTATCCACAAAGCAGCTCTGCAGGCTTGACATGGGGTCATGATACCATTAAAGGAGATGGCACTTGTCAGCTTCCTTTAGTGGTACCTCCTTGGATTCCCACTTTCTCTTCTTTCCTTCCCTCCCCTCTTTGCTTCTTCCTTTCCTTCTCTCTGTCCTCTCTCTATCTTGATCAGCTCGAATGGTATTGAATACTAATCAATACCACACCTAGGCCAGCTGGTAAGTAAAATTTAGAGACAGGAGTTGGGGATTTGATCCCTTCTTTGTCACTCGCTAACTGCATTAATTTGATTAGCTCATTCATCAAATATGGATTGTTTACTAGGTGCCAGGTGCCATGTTGGACACTTGGGCTAGGTCAGGCAAGGAGCAGAGTATAAGTTAGAGAATGCAAGGAGCCATGGGAGAAAGAAAACACAGAGCAGTATCAGGGGTTGAGCACAGTGACCCAAGGGAGGCCGAAACCGACTTCTCTGAGACCCCATGTGCTCAAACATAACATGTGGGTGATGGCTCTGGCTCTCCTTATGAAGGTGAAATGAGACAACACCCATGAGAGGGCCACATAAATCATCAACTGCGAGATGAATGTGTGCTGTGTGAGGAAGAATCGTCTCATCCATAGGACCCAGAGATTAAAATACGCTCCTCATTTGGAGAGGAAAGTGATAAGGGACAGAAATCCACATTTGTGGGGTACCTATTCCGTGCCACCTCCCGCCGCTCTGGGACCTCCTCTGCCCTCTAAGGTGGGCCTCACTTTCCCAGTTTTGAGGATGAGAAAGGCAAGGCTTAGAAGTGAAGTAACCTACCCAACGTCAGGTCACAGCCCTGGGAGGATGACAGAGCCGGGCTGAGAATCCATCTTCATCTTTCCAGGGCTTTGTCCTCCGGGGATCTGAGGTGTAAACCCAGCTGGGTGACCTCTAAAATCCCTCCAATTCCAGGAGCACACAGCTTCTCAGCAATTACTCTTCTGGGTGAGGATAATTGGATGATCCAAAGAAAAACACATCTCAAAAGGAAATGAGTCCCTCGGTTTCTAATAGGAAGGTCGTTTCTCCGTCCTGCTGGAAACATGAACCTCAGGGGGAAGCAGACATCCACATCTGACCTTGGGGATCAGATGGATGGGCGAGTGGCAGAAGCTTTGACTCGAGGGGCTTCCTCCACCGTGGGGGGGTCCCAGAGCCCAAGGAGAAAATAGAAGCATGAGGGATTTCACTGGTGCTTCCAAGCCTCCTACTAAAAAAATGAGAAGGATGGGGCCGCAGTTGAATAAGCCTTGCTTCTGACAGTAGGGCAGTTATCAGAAGGGAGCAACTCAGGCTTCTTTCTTTAAAGAATGGAGATCTACATGCTCAACTTCAAGTACAAGGTGGTTTAGAAAAGGAAGAAATACACACACACACACACACACATACACTCACACAAAGAATTGACAGTCCTGTTAAATATTGCTCACCAAGAAGTTGACCAGGAAGAAGTATTTATTTCATGCAATTTTCCCAGTGTTTGAAGTTTTGAGATATTAAATCACTTAATATTATAGATAACATAGTACTTTTTGGCTGTTATCTCATGTCTGATCCCTGGCAGGTTATGAATAAAGATAATGTGATTTACATATTTATTAGCTCCTTTTTTCACTAAAATAACAGCCCCACATCTCCCATAGCCCACAGTCTGCACTGACTGGCAAGGACATTTAAAATAAGACCTTGTCACAAATTCTCATTTTATACTGGTCACAGTGATAGTGTGCATGAAATTATAATAGGGAATACTCCCAAGTCTGTGCTGAATATCAAGTTTAAGTGCAATGAGGTCATTCGAAGAGTCTGTGATCCCTCTATAGAGGCAAGAAAGTCACTGATACCCCTGAACCCCATCTCAGGAACACAGTGGCCTAGATTGGCTTGCAGAACAAAGGTTCCGATTATAACTGCTCTGTCCAGAGGCTGTGGCATCAGTGCCCTTTGCAAAAGGGCCTGTCACCTGGAGTGGACATTAAACAGAGCAGCACTCTTTGCCTGGGGTCTTAATGCCCATGGTGGTTTGTTTGAATTTGAACTCCTCAGCAGAGTTCCAGTCATTCTCCTGGGAATATGGACTCCTTCAGCTGAAAGGCACTGAACACAATTAATCTCCTTGTCTGGTTCCCTTTATCTTGTAGAAACATATGTGTATATAAAATTTCAACAAGGAGTTCTCCTATCAGACACAGAAGGACCTGCCATGTAGAAATTATTTGGCAAGGAAGTACAGGCATTTTGACTTAAGAAGGGCCTGAGAAGGCAGAGCTGTTCCCCTGGGAGGAGACCCCTGGTGCCTTTTTCTCCCCTAGAGCAGTGATGGTCGCCTGTGGGTGGAGAGACGATTGCAGGTAGACATAGGAGAAGAAAATGCTGAATGAATCTGAATTTTTATTTTCTAAGTACATCTTTATGTTTAAATAAAATTTCTTGGACCAGCAGGTTTGTGGTGTCAGGAGTCCTTAAATAACTAAATAGTATTTCTAACTACTGATGTTCTTGAGCAATGATGCAAGTATTATGTGAGTGGTGTAGCCTGTAATGGATCCACGTTACTATAGAGAAGGATGTCTCTTTAACATTCTACTACTTGACTGTAAATCCAGCAATCACCGGCCTCTTGCCTACTTCCCTGGGCATGGGAAGAACTGTAAAATCATATGGACATTTGGCACAAAGTTTCTTTGAGAGAGGTATTTATTATCTCTTTTCTAAAAAGCCTGGAAGCAACTTTTTACCTACTGCAAAAGCAGGCGTCTTCTAAGAAGTCACACCAAACTTAATTTGAATCCTTATCTAATGAGAGCATCTTAGAGCTACTTCAGAGATTTGTTGGAGACTCGGAAATCCTGTTTCTAGGCCATCAGTCCTCTCTGAGCTGTTTTAGGCAGAGATTCATTCATTTACCCAGAGATTCGTTCTCACAAACAGAGAAAAGAATGAGACGCATGATATAAAACTCAAGATTGCTGGGTGTTGCTCCACAGGGCACGTACTGATGGGTACGAAAGACCTTTGCTACAGGAAACTATTTGTTTTTCTTTGCTGCAACGATTGCAAATCTGGAATCTTCCAAACTGAGCTTGACTATCTAAGGTGGGGGGCCTCCCACAAATGTGTGGCCGTTTTAGAAGACGAAATACATTCTTTTCTTATTGTTTCCAGGCCTCACATGAGCTGGTGCCCTGTTTTGACTACCTCTCTTTCTCCTTGAGTCATTCAAGCAGGTCTACAACTCCGACAGTAACAATGAGGCTTTCCCTTCATTATTTGACCTCCCAGCCAGAATCATGGTGCTTTAATGAGGGACCCCATATCTCATTTGGCCCATCAAGGGTTTCTCTGAGATATCCAGTGACAGCCTTCAAAAAGCACAAGGGAAAGAGACCGTTGCCAAGCCCCAGGAGATCAAGTGAGGAGCAGGGGGTTGCTACAGGAAAAGGTAAAGTTGGGATCGGGAAGCAGGTGGGAATCCGACCCTGAGAAAGGAGCGTCTGATTGCTTCAATCTCCATACCGCCCTCTCTTCTCCACCTAAAACAGAGAGAATTTTCTGTGTCTTTCCTCTCTGTTACCGTCTCAAAATTTTTTATATAAGAAATTTGGAAATTGAGTGTTTGTGTGTGTGAGTGCAAGAGAAAATAAAAAGAAATGAACATAACATGCATTATAAAGTACTTACTAAGCTCCTGTGCCAGTGTCCCCTGAATTTGAATTGTTCCTCTCCGGGGATTTGATGACGGGCCCCACACTGATGTGGGTAGGTAGCCTACAACCAGCTAATGGAAGCCAGGGTTTTTTTGTTTGTTTGTTTGTTTGTTTGTTTGTTTTGATGGAGTCTTTCTTTGTCACCCAGCCTGCAGTGCAGTGGCACAATCTCGACTCACTGCAACCTCTGCCTCCCCGGTTCAAGTGATTCTCATGCCCCAGCCTCCCGAATAGCTGGGATTACAAGCACCTGCCACCATGCCCAGCTAATTTTTTATGTTCTTGGTAGAGACAGGGTTTCACCATGTTGGCCAGGCTGGTCTCGAACTCCTGACCTCAGGCGATCTGGCTGTGTCAGCCTCCCAAAGTGCTGGGATTACAGGAGCGAGCCACTGCACCCAGCCCGGAAACTAGGTTATGTAGGGTTAAGGAAATTCCAGTTCCATTGGCAGCAGACACCTGGAGAGTTGTCTCATGGAGAACATTTCTAGGTTGACAGCTGTATAGACCAACCTACTGGGAAAGAAAAATGACAAGAGTAATGAGAGTAACAGTAAGTACTCTACAACAACAGTAAGGAGATTACGCTTGTAGGTCAACTTCTCCAAACCTCAGCTTCTTCAGTTCAAGGTAAAGAAACTAATAGAATCTAAACCATAGGGCTGTCATGAAGATTAATTTATTAATATAAAGTTTTTAAGAGCATAAGTGCTCAGTAAATGCCAGCATTCATATTATAGCAACACAATATGGAAAAGATATAAATGAGGTCCTGTCTCCAGAAGCTTGACATCCAGTGGGAAAGCAGGAGTTATAATAAACAGGTGAAACATAGGGTAATTTCTGCAGTGGAGGTAAATGCATTTCAGAACTCAAGAGCTGTTCTTCCAAGTTTTCCCAAGAATAGGAAAATACTTCTCAGAGAGGGGGACATTTGAACTAGAATATCAAAGATGAGCAGCAGGGGGGCTTTCCACAGAGACAAGATGTAAGATCTTTTTTATTTTTATTTTTTTCAGACCAATAAAATAGAATGTGCAAAGGCGTATAGGAACAAGAGAACACTGGATTTGGGACAAGCCCAGATACTTCAGATCTCATCTTCTAAGCTTGCTCATTATGAGTCAAACACAAAATAAATCAGCGATATACTTTTTTTTAATTGCCAGAAACTTGAAAACACAGGCAGACAGAAACCAATTCGTACTTCTTTTTTTTTTTTTTAATGTTTTTTTTTTTTAATTATACTTTAAGTTTTAGGGTACATGTGCACATTGTGCAGGTTAGTTACATATGTATACATGTGCCATGCTGGTGCGCTGCACCCACTAACGTGTCATCTAGCATTAGGTATATCTCCCAATGCTATCCCTCCCCCCTCCCCCGACCCCACCACAGTCCCCAGAGTGTGATATTCCCCTTCCTGTGTCCATGTGATCTCATTGTTCAATTCCCACCTATGAGTGAGAATATGCGGTGTTTGGTTTTTTGTTCTTGCGATAGTTTACTGAGAATGATGGTTTCCAATTTCATCCATGTCCCTACAAAGGACATGAACTCATCATTTTTTATGGCTGCATAGTATTCCATGGTGTATATGTGCCACATTTTCTTAATCCAGTCTATCATTGTTGGACATTTGGGTTGGTTCCAAGTCTTTGCTATTGTGAATAATGCCGCAATAAACATACATGTGCATGTGTCTTTATAGCAGCATGATTTATAGTCCTTTGGGTATATACCCAGTAATGGGATGGCTGGGTCAAATGGTATTTCTAGTTCTAGATCCCTGAGGAATCGCCACACTGACTTCCACAATGGTTGAACTAGTTTACAGTCCCACCAACAGTGTAAAAGTGTTCCTATTTCTCCACATCCTCTCCAGCACCTGTTGTTTCCTGACTTTTTAATGATTGCCATTCTAACTGGTGTGAGATGATATCTCATAGTGGTTTTGATTTGCATTTCTCTGATGGCCAGTGATGATGAGCATTTTTTCATGTGTTTTTTGGCTGCATAAATGTCTTCTTTTGAGAAGTGTCTGAGAGAGGAGTTGATAATATCAGGCTTCTTGTTTAAAAGAAAGCATTGGATATTTCTACTCCTTAGCTATTATTTAGTTCCAGAGCAATAGAATCACATCAAATATGCTCTCTGGAAATTATTCTCATTAAGTAAACAATATACAAGATCTGAAACAAACCCTAAGACAGTCACGCTTAGTGTCACTAATGTCCAATTTAAAGTCAGAAGTCCAAGAAGGTATTTTTGTTTTATTTTAAAGAGTCCAGTCTGCCAGTTACATACCGTTCAGTGTGCTGTGATATTATTTCCTACTTTATTTGTTGGGGTTCTCCAGAAAAACGGAAGAAATAGAACGCATATAGGGAAACAAATAGATTTATTTTAAGGAATTGGCTCACATGATTATGGAGGCTGAGACAAGTCCCAAGATCTGCAGTCAGCAAGCTGGAGACCCAGGAGAGTCAATGATGTAATTTCCAGTCTGAGTCCAAAGGCCTGAAAACCAGGAGAGCCCATGTACAAGTTACAGTCTGAACGCTAGCAAGCTCAAAACCCCAGGAAGAGCCGGTGCTTCAGTTCAAGCCCAAAGGCAGGAAAAGGCCAAATTCCTTCCTTGAAAGCAATCAGGCAGAAGGTGTTCTCCTTACTCCTAGAGGAAGGAGCTGTCTTTCTATTCTATTCAGGCCTTCAGTGAATTGAATGAAACCCACCCTCATGAAGGAGGGCCATCTGCTTTAGTCTACTGATTCAAATGTTAACCTCATCTACAAACACCCTCACAGGCACACTCAGAATAATGTATGACCAAGTATCGGGGAACCCCGTGGCCCAGTCAAGTTGACACATAAAATTTCCCACCACACCTAATTAGTTAGTGTGATGTATTGATCAGCAGTTGCATTCCATATGGTGGAATTTTTTCAGAAACTGTTAATTGCAACACTGAAGATAATTATTATACCTCACACTGAATGCATGAGATTTAAAGTCTGGAAAGACATCTCTGGCGTTCAGAAGACCTGATTTGCATTACCTTAACTTCCTGCATTTCTTACGATTCTGCAGCGAAGTCTAATGTGACAGAAGATTATTAGAAGGGACACAAATATTTGTAATTTATAACAAGAAGGTCTGAGTATTTCAATAATGAGAGAGAGAAAAATACTGTGACATCAGAAGACTTGACTTCGCTGAGTTTCCAAGGCAGTATGTGGCCATTCTTTATAAAATATGTATTATTAAAACCCTGATCCTGGATAGAGCAGACCTTTACATCTGCCCACATGGCACAAACAAAAACAAAGTCTTGGCAATCACTTCTCTGATCTGATTGATATAATCAGCGAATTCTGTTAATTTCGGGCTGAAGAGACTTTTCTTCATTCCTGCTTTACCAGTTCTCACTTTGCACATCAATCACATTAATTGGTTGATTGTGAGCTTTCCACTGAGCTTCCTGCTGTTAGAAATCCCCAGGGAGTTTCACTTAAGGAAAAAAAAGTGAAATGTCTACTGCAAGTATCCCCACACAGAGCTCTTTCCCAAAATGGGAAGAGAGACAAGACTTAAAATTTTTCTTCCCATGAAATGTCCATTTGATCCCTTCCTTTTGGACCTCATTTAATGCCACAGGACATAGGGTTCACTCTGGCCTCACCTCCTCTTTTTACTCCTGGCCAACTGGTGAAACCCTGAGTCCAGAAGCCGAGGAGCCCCTCACCTTGTCTGAGCTGGAAGAGTCGCCCTCATGGGAGCAGTCACCTCCTAAACTGGATTGATTTTCTTGTGGGTTTATGAAGAGGCTCCTCCAGGGTTGACACATAAGGGAGGAAGGTTCCCCAAAGCAGCTCTGCTTCTAACTGAATCATATATAGGACTCCCGAAGAAGATTGTTGAGCAGGTGGATCCAAGACTACAAAAAGATTCTGGGCAATTACTTTTCAGTCTTCTTCCCCTCACTCCTCATGACTTTTGTTTGGAATGAATTAGTTGATGCTTCTGTATTAATTGAACTAGACTAAGTTAAACTGCGAAAACTCAACCCCTAGATCTCAGTGGCTTACCACAATGGTGGTCTGCTTCTTACTCATACCAACCTAGATGACCAGCATCGACAGGCAGCGAGTTCTGCTCCTTTGGATGCCCAGGGACCCAGGTGGACTGATGCTCCAGCCTGGACTGAGAGTCTGGGTCCTCCATGCCACCATGGCAGGACAAGAGAGCGAATGAAGGTCCTGCCCTTTGGCAATTTAAAATCTACACCCCAGAAGTGGCAAACACTACTTTCACTCACAGCTCATTGGCCAGAACAGTCACATGATTCCATCTCATGAAAAGAACTGGGAAGTGCAGGTGCCCAAGAGAAGAATGGGACATTTACCACCCCTGGTAATGTTTACCAGAGCTTCTCTCTTTTCTTTTTCCCTTCACCCCAGACTCTTGACTTCCAAGGTCTTCTAACCTTCCTCTGATTTTACAACATTTTGGACTCTTTTCTTTTCTTTTTTATTTATTTTTTGTTGGTTTGTTTGTTTGTTTTTATCTTTGTTTTGAGATGGAGTTTCACTCTTGTCACTCAGGCTGGAATGCAGTGGCACAATCTTGGCTCACCACAACCTCCACCTCCCAGCTTCAAGCAATTCTCCTGCCTCAGTCTCCAGAGTAGCTGGGACTACAGGTGCACAACACCACGCCTGGCTCTTTTTTTTTTTTTTTTTTTTTTTTTTTGGATTTTTAGTAGAGACGGGGTTTCATCAGACTCTTTTCTAGAATTTTTGTCATCAGTAACTCTGTCCAAGCCCTCCCCCTCCCCCAGGCAAATCATCCACAAACACACACACACACACACACACACAGAGTGGGTAAGAAAGGTCTAACAATTTGTTGACAATGCTCATGCACATTAGGTAGAAACAGAAGTCAATGAGAAGTGTAAGCATTCTGATTGCCTAGGATTTGTTGAAATGGCTCGTATGAATTGCTGTCAATGGTCTTCAGGCCCTGCCACTCTTGTGCTCATGTGTGTGCGAAAATGGTTCATTAACAAACCCTCTGGTCATGTTCAGTGCCACTGCACCTGTATATATTGTAGCTCACAGGTAGGATTGATGTAGTCACAGTTAGACATGCCTCTATGTGATGCTCTATGTGTGTGTGTTGAAGGGAGGGGATTGGTAGGATTGTCCCTCTCCAAATATAGAAATAGCAAATTCAGTGGAAATGATCTGCAACAATTTTTTTTTGAAAAAGGTTCTCACTCTGTCACCCAGGCTGGAGTGCAGTGACATGATCTCAGCTCACTGCAACCTCCGCCTCCTGGGTTCAAGTGATTCTCGTGCCTCAGCCTCCCAAGTAGCTGGGATTACAGGTGCGTGCCACCACTCCTAGCTAATTTTTGTATTTTTGATGGAGATGGAGTTTCACCATGTTGGCCAGGCTGGTCTTGAACTCCTGGCCTCAAGCGATCTGCCCTCCTCTGCCTCCCAAAATGATTTTTAAATTTATAATACTCATTCCTGGCAGAGATCTGGGAGACAGGAGTGCTCATCTATTATAGGTCGGAGTGAACTTTAGTACATTTCTTTTTCTTTTTCTTTCTTTCTTTTTTTTTTTTTTTTTTGAGATAGGATCTCACTCTGTTGCCCAGGCTGGTGCGTAGTGGCACGAACATGGCTCACAGAACATGGCAGCCCCAACCTCCCAGATTCAAGCAATTCTCCTACCGCAGCCTCCCAAGTAGCTGGGACCACAGGGACATGCACTACCAAGGTCAGCTAATTTTTTAAAAATTGTTTAGAGACAGAGTCTCACTATGTTGTCCAGGTCAGTCTCAAACTCCTGGCCTCAAGTGATCCTCCCACCTCGGCCTCCCAAAGTGCTGGGATTACAGGCGTGTGCCACTGTGCCTGGCTCATACAACATTTCTGAAGGATGATTTGGCAATGTTATTCAAAAGATTTAAAATTGCACATAAACTTTGTTCTATTATTTCCATTTAAAAAATTTTCCTAGGAGAAAAAAGCAAAGATTTAGTTGTAAAGTTCTTCAGTATAGCATTATTTATTACAGGCTTGAAACATGTTTAATATCCAGTGATAGGGAGTTAGTTAAATAAATCATTTCATATTATTGGACACTACCCAACAACTAAAGTTATGTTTTGGAAATATATCCACTAACTGTGAAGATGTGCATGAGTTCATGAGTTATTATTATATGTTTCCATTTTGAAAACAACTACACATGCATGCACATGCCCATGCTTTACTTTTGCATAAGGGTTGACTCTGGGTTCATTTTATCTTCTTGTTTTAATTTACCTGAAATTTCTTTCTAGCTCACCTACTTGTGTAAAAACACTATTTTGAAAAAACTTGAAATGTTGCACTTTGAAGGAGGCCCATGGGTGTGGAAGAGCTCTTATCAAGGAATTTGGCCCATTCACGCACCACCCCACTTACTCCTAAAGCCCCCACAGATCTCATGAACACTTGGCAAAAGCTCTCTGTTCTTCTCTATTGTGTTTACCTAGCAAACATCCTCACACTTGAAGTTTACAGTCTCTCGCTTTTGTTAATCTCAGTCTCTGACTACTTGAACACGAGTGCCCACAGAAGTCTCCTCCAGCTCCTCTCCCCAATACTTTTACTTTGGAACCCTTCTTTCTTGAACACAGTTCTACACTAGCTGCGTGGTTTCAAGCACCATTAACTATATGTAAGAGGCTTTCTCTAGCCCACCTGCCACATCTTTCAGAATTCATATTTCAATAAGTGTGACGTATTACTGCATTATTGAACCATCAGAGTTAATTCTCATCTCTTTATACGCTCCCCCCACCCAGTTATGGGAATGGGATTAAATACAAAATGTTAGTTGTTTGTATTTATGTAAACATTTAACTCATGAAAATCTTTGAAAACCACGAAACTCACTTTGGGAATTTGGTTTCGGAGAGTTAGTTATACAGACAGAGGAGGCTAAGCATGGTGGCTCACACCTGTAATCCCAGCACTTTAGAAGGCCGAGGCGGGTGGATCACCTGAGGTCAGGAGTTTGAGACCAGCCTGGCCAACATGGTGAAACCCCATCTCTACTAAAAATACAAAACTTAGCTGGGCATGGTGGCGGGCGTCTGTGACCCCAGCTACTCAGGAGGCTGAGGCAGGAGAATAGCTTGAACCTGGGAGGCACAGGTTGCAGTGAGCCGAGATCATGCCACTGCACTGTAGCCTGGGCAAAAGAGTGAGACTCTGTCTCAAAAAAAAAAAAAAAAAAAAAAAAAGAACACTACTAAACAAAATTCCTGGTGAAGATTTATTTATATTACCTGGAGTTTGACAATTTTACATTTTTCCAACATTTGTTTTGTGTATTTTGTGAATATGCAGCTAGATCAAACTCTATGCAAACAAGCTCTTCTGTTTCAGTATCAAAATCCATGAATGTCCTCCCGAAAATTTCTTCTTGTTTAAATTGTGCTAAGTGTACCATTAAGCCTTATGTATGTGGCAGGTATAAATGGAGAAAACAGAGGCTATTTTATTGAATTGAAACAAATGCCCACCTTTCCATCAGATCAGCCTTTGTTTTTTTGACTTGTGCTCTTCAGACTCCTATTTCCTTTGGTGGTGGCAACACATCCTTGCTTGTAGGGGCAATTTGCCCTCCATCATATCAGAATCAAAGAGCATCGTTTATTGGTTGAAAAGCAGTAAGTGCAAGGCATTGCCCTGGAAGAAAGAAAAATATGACTGTGCTAAGAATTTTTCAGCACATTCCAAAGTATATCTCAGCAATTCTGTGCTCTGGTGGGGCTAGAGTCCCAAGCACGGCATCTGTGCAAATACAACATGGCGCCCTCTGAGGCCAGGCTATTTCAGGACCATACATGTGCAATGATAAATAATCCTGCTGGGTATGTTATCACACATCATGGTAAATCTGAGAAGCAATCCATCTGGAATGCTTTATACTCTGAAATACAAGCTTTCAGAATTAGGCAAAGTGCATTTTCTTTGAGCTAGCTAGTTACGAAGAAAGAATTGGCTGCAACAGAGGTCAAAGCCACAGAGAGATGTTCGATACACAAGTAGATAATGAGGTGCCATAAGATTTGTTACATCAGCTGGTATCTCAAAGCTCCCTCTAAAAGAGTTTCTTATTTGTAAATAAAATACAAATGCCCCACCCCAGCCAAAACTTGAATGGGAGCAAGAGGTTAAACTGCTAAGGATAAGATACCAAACGTAATATGACTTGCACTATCAACCCAGTATCCTTTGGGATAAGCAAAGCCCTCTTTAAATATAAAATTACTATTTGTTGCATATAATCTTGATAGAGGCATCACCAAATTTATTATGACTTTTCTCTACAAGATGGCTAATCGCTATTGAAATAAGATTCCTTAATTAAATCAGGAACAAATGTAATTCACTTAAAGCTCCATATTGCACACACGCGGCGAGAGAGGCAATACTGAGAGTGACTATCACGCCAGCTGTTCTGCTGATTTGTCAGCAGCAGTCCCTGAGTTCAAGGCATGTCTTATTTTATCAGCACTAGAGAGACTGAAGAAGAGGAAGTGCATTTGGAAAGGAATGCACCAGACTGACAGTTATGGACGGTGATGCCATGAACAGCGTACAGCCAACCAGAGGCCACAAGCTCTTTTCACTCTGCCATGAGCTTAGGGTTTCACACGGAAGGACACAGATTTGTCAGGGCAGGGTTGGTCTCCTGCAGCAGAAGATTGCAGCAGGACATAATGAAATAGGATGATGTAGCAGAGAGGATACTGGATTGGAACAAAAGGATATGATTTTTATGCTATTTATTTGCTGTGGGACTTTGACAAATACCATGACCTCTCTGATCTGTGGTGTCCTTACCTGAGTAATAGTGGTCATAGTGTATTAGTGTATGAGTGTACTAGTCAGCTAGGGCTGCCATAACAAAATGCCACCGACTGAGAATCTATTTTCTCACAGTGCTGGAGGCTAGAAATCCAAGATCAGGTGTCAGAAAGTGTAGTTTCTTCTGAGGCCACCCTTCTTGGCTTGTAGATGATTGCCTTTCCCCTGTGTTCTCAATAGTCTTTCCTCTAGGTAGGCATTCCTTGCATCTTTTGTGTCTTCAAATTTCCTCTTCTTATAAAGACACCAGTCAGATTGAATTAGAGAGGGCCCGATGTCATGCCTCATTTCAGCTTAATCACTTCTGTGAATGTCCTATCTCCAAGTAGAGTTACATGCTGAAGTACTGGAGGTTAGGACTTCAACATATTAATTTGGTTGGGGTGGAGGACACCGTTCAGTCCATAACACAGAGTCAATGTAAGCATGCAATGAGATAACGAACCTTCAAGTACAGGATAGATTGCAAGGCGCTATACGATATGATATATTATCATTTGGAAGGAAATGTCATAACACAACAGCTTCAGACCTGCACCAGAAGCAGCTGATCATGGGAGCCATCTTAAGGCCTTCCTGTTGCAAGGTAAAGTAGAAATGGGGAAAGTGCAGAAAAAACATACAAAATAATTTTTATGATTTTTTTTGCCATTGATCATCCATTCCTTTTCATAAGTGTACCTTGATTTCCTTTGGGGCTTTACCTCCCCAAACCCCTACACTGGGTGCTGTGAAAATGACCTGTATTTCCACCATAAACCTGAGAGGTCCCTGCAAAGACTTTCCACTAGATCCTTTCTTTTACACTATACAGCCAAGAGCGTAGAGCATGCAACCCAAGCTGGTCAACTGGTTATACTCTCCTAGGACTTTGTTTCCTGTTTAAAGTGACATAAGGTTAGAGAAAAACATTGTTACATTGTTGGGTTTCATTTTTTCCATCTGAAGAGTTTCTGATGGTCCAATGTGTCAGATAGTTATGCTTCCAAGCCTGTTTTTTTTTTTTTTACCTTATTACTAATTATTAGTGCTTCCTAATATCCTTTACCCAAATCCTCTTTTGCATAAGTTTGCCAGAGTTTGTGTCTGTTGCTTGCAAACAAAAAGCTATAACCAGAAAATAAGGGTAGAAGAATGAACAGAAAGAAATTTGTAAGAAAGGAGGAAAAATGAAAGATCGGAAGATAGAAAAGTGAAAGGAAGGAAGAAAGAATGGGTGGAAGCGATGAAACAGAAGGGGGTTGGATGAAAAATCAAAGGGTCATGAGGCATAGCAACTCAGATCTTTTGTGAGGGCAATCAGTTCCATGCCCAGAGAAAGTAATATGGTTTTCCTCTGCTGCTTAACATATAGTTACACCTCAGTGAGAAGATCTTTCTGTTCATGGAAACTAGTGCTGCGCTTGTCCACCCAGTTTTCACCTCCCTAGGTAGCCTATGTTTATGACACCTTATATAGAGTTGAAATTTGCTCCCAGTAATCTACACCCTCAAAACAGGTCTTCTGACAACCTGCAAATATTTTAAGACTGACCGAGAGAGACAAGGTGAAGACATCACAGATAAACCATCCAGGAACGTTCCTCAATGAAGTCACTATATTCCAGATTCTTGTCTTCAGCTTTGTCTCTCCAGAAACTCAATGTAGCTAGGGGACCTAGAATTCCAGAACTGACAAGGTTAATTCAAACACACTCACAAAAGACTGATGATAGAATAGGTTTCCAGTTTCTCAATATAAAAGTACTAGGTTAGAATCTGAGCTGGTTCCAAACTTAGCCAGAATAACGATGTGATTTTGTGCAAGTTAGTGAACTTCTCTGAGCCTTGGTAATATCTGTAGTTGGCGTGAGTGTCACATTAGCCATTACCTGTGAAGTGCCTGGAGCATTGTGGCGACCCAGTACATGTTAGTTGCATTCCCTTACCTTCTATGCCAGGTGCTTCTCCTGAAGCTCTTCAGATACTCTTGGCCTCACTGTTCTTGTTCCAGCTACTGCTGCGGCAACCAGCTCTGCATGGCCCCTGACTAAGTTCACGCAGGCACAACCTAGCAGTAACTTCCTGCTGCCTGTGCCTGCTTCTCTCCATCCTGGGCTTTTCTATTGACTTGGAGTATGCCAGGCTCTGGGGGTGGGGGTGGGGGGGCTGCAAAATCCTTCTTAGTGCCCACCTGTGCAAAACTCTGATATGTGTTTGGGGGCGGGGGAGGGGGGCAGGGTTATCACCAAAGGGTGAATCGTTGACCAACGGAAGACGGGACTCAGGATAAACCCTTCCCTCTTTCTCTTCTCCGCTGTCCTGAGACCCATCTATAAGACGTCTCAGAGGACTGTACTGTCCCTTTGTGTCTGGGTCCCTTGGCCCCTCGAAATCCAGTAAGCAGTGGCATCTGGTGGTGACTAACTCAGTAAGTTATCCTCATATTGGCTCTGTCTCCTTCTCTGCCTTATCCTCTGAAATGCTTCCTCTCTACCTAGTAAGAACACATAAGCCTTTTCTTCACGCTCTGTTTTCTAGGGAAGACAAGATAAAGTGAACTGTAACCCCCTTCACCTTTCCAGTCACCAGAATAGCTCCATCAGTCTCTCCATTGTCCAGATCAGGCAAATTTTATGGTGTCCAGCAGGCGAAATTAACAGTTAAGAGTTTGCTGGTATATATATACAACAGAATATGATTTAGCTTTGAAAAGAAAGGAAATTTTTGACACGTGCTACAACATAGATGAGCCTTGAGGACGTGCTGCTAAGTGTAATAAGCCAGTCACAAAAAGATAATGTATAACTCCACTTACATGAGGCACCTAGAGTCGCCAAATGCATAGAGACAGAAAGCAGAATGGTGCTTGCCAGGGTCTGGGGAGAGGGGAAAATGGGGAGCTGCTGTTTAATGGATGCACAGTTTCAGTTTTGCGAGATGAAACAAATTCTGTTGTACAACAAGGTGAATATACTTAACACTACGGAACTGCACACTGAAAAATGGTTAAGACAATATAAATAGGGCTGAGTGCAGTGGCTCACACCAGTAATTCCAGCACTTTGAGAGGCCAAGGCAGGTGGATCACCTGAGGTCAGGAGTTCAAGACCAGCCTGGCCAACATGGTAAAACCCCGTCTCTACTAAAAATACAAAAATTAGCCAGGCGTGGTGGCGCGTGCCTGTAATCCCAGCTACTTGGGAGGCTGAGGCAGGAGAGTCTCTTGCACCCAGAAGACGGAGTTTGCAGTGAGCCGAGATTGTGCCACTGCACTCCAGCCTGGGCGACAAAGTGAGCTCCGTCTCAAAAACAAACAAAAAAAAACCATATAAATATTATATCACAAAGGGAATGTGAGAGATGTTAGGAATAGTCCATGGAGACTCTGCTGCAATAGAGCTCACCTCCAGTGACAGCCATGTTTAATGACTCTGCTCCTGGAAAGTCCTGGGAGACCATTGCCCCCAACCCACTTCATGTCTACACTTTTCCTGAAACCCAAGCAGACTCTCATGGGTTTTAGGAAAAGTTTTTGGTTTCATATCTACATATCTACACTTTTCCTAAAACCCAAGCAGACTCTCTCCTATGTGTGAACACCTTCTTTGTGTAGATATTACATTCAATGAGAAAGCAGCAGCTTTCTTTGTTATAATGATGACATTCATGGTCTGTCTCCATCTCCTTTCCCTAGTCACCTGGATTTTGTTTCCTGACCTGTCTAGTTTCTGCAAATCTAGTTTCTGCAAAAATTAGCAGAATAATAGCAGAAATTAGCAGAATAAATGTAGTAATAATAATAGCAGCTAGTGTACCATGTGTCAGGCACCATTCTAAACGTTTTACTTGTATTAGTTCATGTAATTCTCACAACACCATTATATGATCAGTGCTATGAATATCCTCATTTTATAGGGAAGAAAATCAAAGCACAGAGAGATGATATAATCTGCCCACATAGCTATTAGGTGTCGGTGAGCTCTCATACTGAAGCAGTTGCCTCCAAAACCTGGGTCCTTAATCCCTACATTTTACAGCCTCAAATCCCATTCTCTACGCTTCTTACTCTAACAGTGATCTTATTTCCAAGTTGTGAGGACATTTTATGGTTGCTCTTTATGGGTTCTCTACCCCACTCTTCACCTTGCTGACTCCCCTTTGTTTTGGGATCAAAACACCACCAGTTCTTTCCAACATCTTCTACATGGCATGTCCTCGTGTGTCCATATCTAATTATGTAACAGGAAATGCTATCCCATGCTCTGGGTATGAAGTCCAGTGGGACCATTCCTGCTGGAATTTGTAAACCACACTTTCATAAATATAGTCAAAGATTATGCTGGACTTAGTGTAATTAATTAGACTATCAATATCACCTAAGCTATGATTTAGACCTTGAAAGCCCCCTGTTACAGGCTGAATTGTGTATCCTCCCCTTATTCAGTTTATATATTCGAGTCCTAACCCCAGTACCTCAGATGTGAACTTGTTGGGAAACAGGGTCACTGCAGATGTCACTAGTTATGAGGAGGTCATTTGGGTGGATCCTCATTTGATATGACTAGTGTCCTAATCACAAGGAAAAATTTGGAAACACACAGAGAAAACACCATGTGGTAATAAAGGAAGAGATAGGGAGGGATGCTTCCACAAGCCAATAAATGCCAAAGATTGACAGCAAACCATAAGAAGCTAGGGAAGACGCCTGGAGCGGATTCTTACACACAGCCCTCAGAGGAACCACCCTTGCCCTCACCTTGATCTCAGACTTCTAGCCTCCAGAGCTGTAAGACAACAAATTTCTGTTGTTTAAGCCACTCAGTTCGTGTTACTTGGTCACAGCAGCTCTAGCAAATTAATATATCCCCTAAGATCTTTTCTACAAGTCAGGTCTTCCCTATCCTGTACTACGCAATTATTTTTCTTTTTATACCCAAGGACAGGACTTCATTTATTTTTATATCTCTATTTAATTTTGGTTCAGAATCTAGCCCATCAAAATCATTCAGCATCTTGATTTTGTCATATGTTGCATTCACTTCCCTTCCAGGTTTATATCATCTGCAAACTGAATATTTAAATCCTCTGGGGTAGGGACCATGTCCTCCTCCTCCTGAGATTTATAAAGAGAACAATGAGTCAATGATGCTTAGAATGTCATTGGCCTCATAGAAAGATACACATTCTTCCAGGCTGAATGAACAGTAGTGTTTTTACTATTAATGTCACTAATATGTTTATGTGGATGGCAGATTTCCCATAGGCCTACCTAAGTCAGTAAGACGGAAAATCTTATCTCTCTCCACTAAAATGACATGGTGGAAGTGTAATAAAAGACCTCTCTAGTTATTACAATTACATAAAAAATAACAGAAGCCACTGAAAAATCAACAAATCAACAATTCCGCTCATGTCTATACCTGCTTTCTTCCTTTCTGTCTTTCTCTTTGGTGGTGTGTGCTTGTTCCAGCTAGCTCTTGCTTACTTAGTTATCTCACAGATGAGCTTGGCTGAATTCAATACAGAGGAAGGTATGGCAGTGCCTTTTGCTTTTTGCATGCTTGTTGTTTTGAAATACTTGACCTGAAATTTTCTGTTTGGCATGACACAGCTTTTGTGTGTTATTCACATTTTCATTGCAAATAAATCTTGCTGTTTGGTACTGTGACACATAAAAGAAGCAGCTTATGTTTTGAAATACTTGACCTGAAATTTTCAGTTTGGCATGACACAGCTTTTGTGTGTTATTCACATTTTCATTGCAAATAAATCTTGCTGTTTGGTACTGTGACACATAAAAGAAGCAGCTTAGACTTCATTTTTCTCTCTCCAGCCTGTTGCACCAGTAGCCATATAGCACCTGTTGGCACATGATCTTGTTTCTTAATTATCACGGGCTCCCTGAGTGATCTGGAGCCCATCACGGCACCTCTCTGGGCCCCTGGAAAATGAAGGGCTTGGGACGGCTAACTTCTGAGGTCCTTTTTAGCCCTGACGTTTTCAGATGTTCTGGGTGGGTGGTTGGAGGCAGGGGGATTTCTCATTATAGATACATGTCTTCAAAATGGAAATTCTCTTCTTCAGAAAAGCAATTCTTGTTGGAATTTCAAGGGCAACAAAGAATTGGAACAGGTTTAGCAATAACTCAAATCTTTCTCGAAACATTTTTTCTAATGTTTCTAAGTGAAAGGTGTCAAAAGCATTACATTCACTGGTGTGAATTTTTGTTAGATATCAAGAGTAAATAATATATAATGGGAAGAAATTTCTATTAAATCTATTTGGGACCTTATGGAGATAAAGCCATTTGATTTGTGCTTGGATTCAATATGGATGCAGCATTAATATTTATCTATGAATAATTCATGGCTATTATTTTTATAGGTGTCTAAAACAATCTTTGCCTTTGAAAGACATGTGGGAAATCAGGAGCTTCCCCAAACCTCCAGGGAGCGCCCTGGATAATAATTCTTCTGCATGCGCATGGCCCAACTAGGCTGAGCAGGTGTTTGTGATCATTAAAGGCAGGTGCAGCCTGGTGGGGAGAGAAGGCAAGGGATCCCAGCAAGATGTCCTGGGGCCAGTGGTGATGGAAGAGCTTAAAGTTCCTGTTAGTACAGAAACTTAGTTGAGCAAATATAGAAAATAAACAAAATTAAATTTTGGCTTGCCCCCCCAAAACATAGCCTCTAAAAATTGGTTTTGAGGAAATTAACATGTTTACTCTGCACTACAGAGTGAACTACAGTGAAACATTACCTATGCAATTTCAATAAAACTGCACCAGCCCAGGGAAATACTAACTTCAGCTTCTTTGTATAGATCTGCTAGCCAAGTTTCAAAGGGCTAAGGTAGGGAAAAAAAAGCCAGCATTTATTAAATATTTGCCACATTTCAAACACTAGGATAGATTTGATTAATTCACACAAGAGTCCTGTGAGACATGAGTCCATTTGTGAGATAATGAAACTGAGGCTAGTAGAGGTTACGTATCTCATCCCAACAAGAAATGGCAGAATCTAAACTCTCCATTCTACCCTGCTGCATCATGAGTACAGTTGGAGTTTGATCTTAAAACAATACTAACAACCCTAAAAACATATTAAGATTCAGTAAAATTCCTATAAACCTTTAGGACATTGGAACGTTTTCCCGATAGTCCCAAGTTTAGGTGCACTTCAATAGGGCAAATTCTTCTCCAACACGGTTCAGTGCAGGATTAACCTGAGATCTACAGATTTGCTTCAGATGTCAGTGAGCCTTCTGGAATTGCATGCGAAATGATGCAACTGTGTGTGTGTGTGTGTGTGTGTGTGTGTGTCTACTGCTCTCATTTGACTTTCAGAAAGCTCTCAATTTTAAAGAAGGTAAGGAATTAATGGCACAGATTTGTAGAACTATTTTTATGAGCCCCCAGGCTACTGGTGCTTTAATGAACCAGTGAGAAGATGGACAGTGTGAGCCACAGAGGAGGTGGTTGCTTACAATTAGGTATTATCTATTGAGAGAAAATTCAGAAGAAATTTGTTGCCAAACTTAAGAGAGAGTTCCAACAAGCTTTTTAGGGGTGGAATCATATCCAAATTCATCTCATTCAGTCCTGAGTGCTAGTTAGGTAGGAGCTTGACCCATCAGAGAGTAACCAGAGGGAAACAACCACAGTGGGGCTTGCATCGGGAAACCACATCATGCAGAGAAAGATTGGGGAACCAGGGATGAAGGGAACACCCAGCCATTGTGAGTAGGAGTGTAAATTGTTGGGATAACTTTGAAAAGCACTTTTATAATATGTCATAATCTGAAAACATGCATCTTCTACAACTCAGCACTTCTACCTTTTCATAGAGAAACTCACTCATGTATGCCAGGAGCCATGCAGAAAAAATGTCATTATTGCATTGTGTGTAGTAGCAGAAATGAAAAGAATTTTTTAAGAGAGAAAAAAAGAAATGAAAATCTATATGCTTATCAACAGGAGAATTAATTACTAAAAAGGTGTAAAATTTTTATAAGATGGAAAGTAAGCAAAATGGAAAGGAGCTAAAATGAATGAACTAGAGCTACATTTACCTATGTGGAAAATTTCAATACAAATTTACAAAATTTTTTAAAATAAAAATAAAGCAAATAACAAAAGGTTACATACAACATGACATCCTTAATATGAAGCTTAAAACTCTGCAAACTAAGTTATATATGGTTGATAGACACATGTCTATGTAGTAAAAGTGAAAAAATCTGCATGGGTGCACCTGTAGTTCCAGCTACTTGAGGGGCGGAGGTGGGAGGATCGCTTGGGCACAGGAGGTTGAGGCTGCAGTCAGCTGTGTTTGTGCCACTGCACTTCAGCCTGGGTGACACAGCAAGACCTTGTCTCAAAAAAATAAAACATTAAAACAGTTTTTTAAAAAATAAAAATCTGCCTGGGAACGATATCCTCAACATTAAGACGGTAGTTATTTTGGGGGACAAAGTGAAAAATGGCTTTAGAGCAGTTACAAAGGGAGCTTCAGCTTTAACTGTGCTATTTTATTTCTTGATAAAAATCTACAACATATGTGTTTTACAATATACATATATGGAAAAATAGTACAGTTTAACAAAGCTAGGTGGTGGGTACATAGTTTTATTATTGCTGTCGTTAGTATTCTTTATGCATATCTCTGTGTGTCAAATATTTTATAATAATGAAGCACGAAAAATGTTGTAGGCTCCCTTTACTGGCAGGTTCAGTTTGAGGCTGCACGGGTTTTTTAGAGTTAATCCTTGCACCAGCCTGAGACTAAATTAAATGGTAGATCTTTGCAGCTAGCAGCTTGTGCCCCCAACAGCACCCTAGCATGCCCTTAAGCAGCCTTTCTTTGCTTTCTACCTGCTTTGTTTTACCTGGGACTCCAGAATCAATGCAGAGAAGAATGCAATGAAATGAAAATCCCCGTTGGAAATCTTGTTTCTTTTGAGGGCAGGATCCCTTTGAATATTTAGATCCTGTGTGTAATTCCTACACAATATATGGATGAGTGAGTCCTTAGACTTGACAATGGCATTTCAGGAGGACTTTCCTTATCCATGGGGGATATATCACAAGACCCCCAGTGGATGCCAGAAACCAAAGTTAGTACAGAACCATCTGTGTGTGTGTGTGTGTGTGTGTGTGTGTGTGTGTGTGTGTGTGTGTATGTATATGTATATTAATCTTTCTTCCTATATATACATACCTATAATGTTTCATTTATAAATTAGGTACAGTAAGAGGATAACAATAATAAAATAGAACAATTATAACAACATACTGTAATAAAAGTTATGTGAATGTTTATTTCTGGAATTTTCCATTTAATATTTCAAGTTTGACCCTGGGAAACTGAAACCTTGAAAAGCGAAATCATAGACAAGCGGAGACTGCTTTAGTCTCACAGAGAAAACCTTCACATCTTTTTGTTTTCAGAGTGCCGACCAGAGGTTAAATAGGGACAGAGTTTGTCCCTGGTTCCCTGTCCCCCAATTCCTTTCAGCTGCCTCCTTACTCCTCCAAGTAAGAAAGCACCCAAGCACACCACCCACTCTGCCCTAGAAGTGCCCGATATCTTCAAAACTGCCCTGCCCTGCCCGAAGATCCTCTCCCCTGACCTTGACACCCCACCTGTGCCTGGCCTTTAAGCCAGTGCTTCACATTGCCTGTGCTCCCTTCCCACCCTTGCCCCATTCAGAGCTCCCCTGCTTACCATCTCCTTGGGGACCTGCGTCCTACCAAGGGGAAGATGAGGTGGTGCATTTGCATGCAGTCAGCCGTCTGAGTCTTTAACCCAAAGCCGGGACCCAGGGCATTGAAAAAGAAGCAGGAAAGGTATTTGGGGGCAGGTAGCCTTTTTAGTTTACCCATATCTAAGGGTTTCCTGAGTTTCCCCCAGACAAGCTTTAATTTGGGGGAATTCTTTCCTTTTGACCTGGTATCATAGACTTGGCACACACATTGGGAGCCAGTGGATCCTGGTTGAAACTTTGTCTGCTACTTTCTGGCTGGCTGACCCCAGGCAAATTTCTTAAACATCCTGTATTCTTAAACAAACAGTTTTCCCAGAAGTAAAATAGGGAACTAAATAAGATAAACTGTAAAAGGCTGCATCAGAGCACTGCTCAGTTGATGTTAGTTCCTGTATTAGTTATCTATGGCTGTACAACCAATTAGCCCAAACACAGCAGCTTATAACAGTATGCATTAGTTATCTCACACTTCTGGTAAATCAGGAATCTGGGTGCAACATTGCTGGATCTTCTGGCTTAGGATCCCACAGGCTACAACCAAGGTGTCGACGAGGGCGAGTCATCTTAAGACCTGACTGGGGAAGGATCTGCTTCCAAACTCACTCACGTGGTTGTTAACAGGATTCAAGCTCCTTGTGGGCTGTTGGAATGGGGGCCTCAGTTCCCCAGTGGCTGATGGATGGAGGCTGTCCTGTGTTCCTTGCCACGTGGGCCTCTGCAGCATGGCAGTGGGCTTCATTAAAGTAAGCAAACTAAGAATGCAAAACACACACAGAGAGAGAGAGAGAGAGAGAAAGATGGAAGTCATGATCTTTTATAATCTAGGCTCAGAAGTGACATCCTCTCCCTTTTGCCATATGCTACTCATTAGAAGCAGGGAGGTCTGGCCCGCACTCATGGGGAGGGAACTACACAAGGATATGAGGCCCAGAAGGCAGGGTGCACTGGGGGCCTCGCTTCAAGGCTGCATACCACCGTTCCTTTACTTTCCCATTTTGACTCATCCTCACCAAAAGGACACTGCCATGCATTGCTCTTCATTCAACTTATTTTATTTTCAGTGATTTTATAATGCCTATGCATATCATTTAATATTTCTGTAACTTTTCATTCAAATATTTACCTAGAAAGTATGAAGTATTCCCTTATGTGTACCTCTACAGCTTCTTTCCTTTGAGAATTTCTGATACCTTAAGATCAGTGATATAATAATTCTGCTACAGCCTCCTTTCTTCTCAGCTGCGATCCAGCTAATGAGCCACTGGGGGACCAAGGCTCAAGATCAGTCATGTATCCACTCCTTTCTGGCCCAGTGACCCCTCACACAGCATGTCTTTGGGCCTGAAGGTCATTCTATCTGTCCACAAACACAGAATAAGCCACCATCTAGAAACTGCCCTTAATTCACAATGCCATTCTCCCTTTGCTGCCTAGGAAGATGAGCTGTGCTGAGTTTCCCTTGCCCAACCCAGGAAGACCGAAGACAGGCTCTCAGTTCTGTGTCTGCCTATGTCTGTCTCCAGACCAGGAGGGCATAGTCTTCTCTTTCCTCTTGTGTTCTCACACAGTGCCATCAGTCAGGGCCCTGCACAGCTCTGCTGAGACACCCCCGTGGCCATACTTGTCCCAATCTCCAACACATGACAGTATAAATTCATGATCACCCAGAGCATCATAAACACAGCTCCATCTCAGGAAACTCAGAATGCCAAAGCCTCCTTCTTCTTGTCTCTTTTGTGCAGCTTTGCCCTCTATCAAAACTTTTGGACCTTCAGAGTGCTTGATGAGCAAATGAGAAATTGCTTAGATTGGTGTCACTTCATCACTTGCTGCTTGCCTGGCCCCACTCTGCCTCTCTCTATGTGTTCCCTGTCCACTGTTCTCTGTTGTCAGCCTCACAGCACCCAGAAGGAGCTATGGGCAGTATCAATGGTTGTCTCCTAGCTCCCTTAGGGTGATTGATACCTCTCCACTTTTGCTCAAGTTATCCTCAGTATCTCTGATGCTCTTCTTATCTGACGAGCTCTTCTTCTTCCTTTGGAACTCAGCCAGATGCCAGTTTCAGGAAACTAGGTCCTAATTATAAGCTTCAGAGTGGCCCTCGTGTGACAGAATATAGTGCCACCATATGACTTACTATATTCTATTGAAATGTGTTATTTGCACACTTACCTCCACGTGGGACTTTTGCCAAGATGGGCCCAATGCCAACGTTATTGCCTCATGGTTACTGGCATTATCTTATATCAACTACCCTAAAAACCTAGGCATTGTTTTTATTCTCACTTTGCACATAAGGAAACCAAGGTTAAGTAGCTTGCTGGAGGTCACGAGGTTAAGAAGTAGCAGAAGGAAGTTTCAAATCCAATCTATCAGACCGCAAAGTTCATGCACTAAACCATTAGGCTACACTGCCTAGTTCTTCTCCCCTCTTCCTCTCAGCCCTCAGCCCTCTGCCCTCTTCCCCACCCTCTTAGTAAGGGGGCCCAGCACTAAGTTGGCGCGTAATCAATGTTTGTCTAATACAATGGAGTTGGGCCCCGTTTTTTACAGATAAGAAAATTACATTCCTATTGCCTTCATCAGAGCCAGGAAAATGAGCAGGACTTTTTATATGTCGGGGTTTTAAATAGATTTATTTCATGTTTTCCTAAGTGACTGAATAATCATCATTCTCATCAATACACACAGGCACAATACAACCTGCAGATGAAAAGACCGTATACTTACAAAGGTAGTTTGTTGTTGAAATGTAAACATCTTGTGCTTACATGCCTCTAGATTCAGCTATGAAACACCTCAACCAGTCTAAGATGCATTCTTAAAAATGAGGGGGAAAGAATATTAACTACACTTGCAAAATGTACGGTAATTTGTAAGGTGGCTTTTAACTGTTGCTGAGTCAAGGCTGTTCATCTGCCATTCCTCACTGTCCCTTTAAATACCACTCTCTGTCACTTCGGTGAAAGGAGAATGATGTATATTTCTAATTATAACCAACCAGGCACTTCCACACTCTGTTTGGTTCCCTGCAGGTTACACTATTTGCCAATATCTATTTAATTGTAGCAATAACAGGAAAAACTCCCAAATCCAACCAGCTAGAAATTCTCTGGCTCTCTTCCACTTTAGTGGAATCAAATTTTTGCACTTGCGGTCATCTTTATATATGAGAGGAGAGTGAGGCTGGGAGAAACTTGGTGTTAAAAATAAAGCAAAGTTACAGACTCTCACTCTCTAGAGCTCATGGAAGATTCTGGCTTTTTATTATTAATGATTAGCATTGACACCATCCCCCAACCTCAAGAGCATGCTGAGGATCTTCAGGGAACTCCAGCTTGATCTGGGCAGCTGCCAGGGTTGACATCTATCTGAAGATTCTGTTCTCCTCCTGCCCATCATGTCAAGGTACCATGCAGGGTGAGTCAAAGTGAGTAGCATTGTGTGTCCACCCCCTGAGGCCTGCCTCCCACCCTGAAACCTTTGCCACCTCTCCCATAGCCACCACCTTCCTCTTTCCCATGCCTAAGGCTGCCTTGGCCCCTAAATACCCCCACCTGCCCCAACATTCACCATTGAGGGATGGGGGTTACCAATCAGCTACATCACTAAATTAAATACTGACAATATGCTACCAATAGGAGAACACCTTCTAGTTAGAAAATTCAGCTTTTCTTGATAATGCCCCTGCTTGTGAATCTAGCACAAAAGTCTCTCTAGGGACAGAATTCTAGAATGGTTAAGAATGTATTTTTAGGCAGATGGAAGCTTTTTAGAAAATCTTGGATTTGACTGCATCATAAATGGTGCAGGGATGAGCAAGCAAAGGGGAGGGGAACATGGGCTGTGCACTTTCCATGCCAAGCACTGTGCCAGAGTCTAAATTCAGAATATATCATTTCATTGCTACTCTCACCCTTTGGGTAGATATGAAGATCTATGTTCTTTTTTTTTTTTTTTTTTTTTTTTTTTTTTTGAGATGGAGTCTGGCTCTGTCGCCCAGGCTGGAGTGCAGTGGTGCGATCTCGGCTGACTGCAAGCTCCGCCTCCTGGGTTCATGCCATTCTCCTGCCTCAGCCTCCCGAGTAGCTGGGACTACAGGCACCTGCCACCACGCCCGGCTAATTTTTTTTTTTTTTTTTTTTGTATTTTTAGTAGAGACGGGATTTCACCATGTTAGCCAGGATGGTCTCAATCTCCTGACCTCGTGATCCGCCCGCCTCAGCCTCCCAAAGTGCTGGGATTACAGGCGTGAGCCACCGTGCCCAGCCTGAAGATCCATATTCTTGTAGTTGAGGAGACTGAGGCTCGAGGAGACTGAGGCTCAAGGAGATCACATAGCTCTTCTGAGGTCACATGTCAAAATCGAAGCTTGAGCCCTGCTTAGGGGATCTCTAAAGTGTTGATTTTCCCTTGACACTATGTGGGGACCAGGGGCAAGTGTTGGCCCAGGTCAAGTAAAGGTACAGCTTCTGCACATGGAGCCAGGACAAGAGCTGCTCTTCTAGAGAAGGATGAATGGCAAGTTCCAGATTCTCACTATTTGGAGGTCATGGAAGATTCTAGGCTTTTCTTATTAATGTTTAGTACAACACCATCACCCTCAGCTTGAGAGCACACCGAGGACCTTCACAGCTAGCATCTGAGCTTGATCACAGCTGCCACCAGGGTTGGCATGTGTCAGAAAATGCCTCCAACAGACACCTGTAACAGAGTTGGCATCTGCCCAAATCCAATGCCTAGGTAAGGGACTGTGCCCAGGCAGAGGCAAGGGACTACAAGGAAAGGGCCAAGTAACCAGGAGATGCAGCAGATGCACTTAGAGAGATGCGAGAAAGCAAGAGAAGGGCTCCAGGGAGGGCCAGGGCAGGCCCACAGAAACTGGTTCATGGCTGGAACTCCATCTATTTGGTAACTGGAGGACAGCGCAGAGACCTTAGCAGATGACTCAGTCATCTCTGGACCAGGGCCTCAGGACTAGGGAGGGATCTATTCTAAGCCTGGCCTGATGTTGAAGCGCTAAGCATATATCCCAATTCCTGGATAAGGCTGATCCCTGGGGAATGGCCCTGGTATCTTAGGTTACCAGATTGAGACACCTGCAGAGTTGTGGAGAAGTGAGGACATTGACCCTGTCAAGGCCTGGGGCAAAGCTTGAATATGACCACATTTTACAGAAACCAACAAGGTGACCAACGCCCTCCACATTCAGTCAGTCAGCACATTACTCAGTCACCAAAGCCTTTTTTGGGCACCTGTGATTCTTTCCTTCTACTAAGAGTTGGTGCCACCTGACTATGCAGTGTGTCATGTTCTGCTCTGGGTATTCTTAGACAAAAGCCAGATTCTGTGCTAGGTATCACAGGAGATGAGTCAGCCAGGCAGACCAAGATTCCCCCTCATGGAGTTTATAATCTAGTAGAGAAGATAGGATGCAAATTAGAACAGTTATAATATCCAGCTAAGAATCCCAGTGGAGGAGCAAAAAAGAGCTTTGTGTAACAGGAAAGAAAGAAGAGAACTTCTGATAAAGGGAGGAAAGAGCAGGGTGCCTAAGTTGATTTGGTGAGACTTCCAAGAACTTGGGAGCTTTGCCGTAAAAATTATGAAGGACCAGGAGGCGTGGGCTGTAGGACTGAGCTTCAGGTCTGGGGTGACCCTCCTCTACATGACATGTGCCCCTTCTGTCCTCTCCAGCTGGTCCATTCCAATCCAGAAGTCAATGCTCCTTAGCATCCTTCATGTCTATGTTAGACCTCAAAATGCTATCCCCCACTCTCCCTGCTTTTCCAGTGAAATATGCTCTTCTCCTGACAATTGCTGGCCACAATCCCCTCTACCATGAAGTAGTCCAAGATCAGATCTCTCTATCTTGACATCATTGTTGAATCCCCATTCCGCTAAGCATGCAAGACTGGGTGACTAGAGTTAGCAGGTCTCTCTTTACCAAAGTGCGCTTTGTGATATCAAACAGCAATACTCCTGAAATAGGGGATGAAAAACCAATCTGTCCTTCTGATCATATTTGAAAAATACTAGAGAATCTTACGATGATCAGGTAGGAAATTGTTATTAAACAAAGTGATCATTTGGGACACCAATAATCCCAACTTACGTGTCTATTTTCTAAGTATGAATTCTAGAGAGGATTTTTCTTCTACCTTGTGAATCTACGAGTTCTTGGATATGTATTTTCATAGGAACTTTTCTGGAAATTGTCTCTGTCTTTAAATTGTAAGAGGACCTTGAGAACAGAGATGTCATTTTTTTAACTCATCCTCCCATCTGTGCCACTCTATGAGGCCTGAATGCTGGCCTGGCAACCTGGGGGACACACAAGGTGCTTAGTCTTTGTGGACACTGTTGTCTGGCTGAATATAGGGATGCTTAATGCAAGTCAGCCCTTCTTTGAGGACAAACTTACTCAGATCCATTCTGCAAGGCCTCCGTGGTCTACCTATTCCAGGTAGTAGAATTCTAAAGCCCTAGGAAATTGCATCCTTTGGCTAAGTTCTCTCTCCTCAATAGCATGAAGCAGCATAATGTCAAAGAAAATGACCCTCAAATCAGGCAAACTGAGCTCGAAGAGCACCTTTGGTAATGACTAGCTGTGTGGGCAAAGTACTAAACTTAACCTTTTTAAAGATCTGTTTATCTTCATAATGAGACTAGCCTATTCCACAAAGATGTGAGTGTGAAACAAGTCTGGATTGTTGTATGCCCTTAGTAAATGACAGCTATATACAGCATTCCTTCTTTGAATTTCCAAATTTTAATGAAAATTATTTTTCAGAATGAAATCTTTGCTTTTTAAAAACTATTTTGAGTGTACACAATTATATTTGCTAATGGGCTGACTGAAGCTCAGACACATCTCCATAAAATATATTTATGCACATATTATATATCCAGACCCTACACACTATGTCACTATATACCTGAGTATGCACGTGTTCTCTCTCTCACACACACACACGTACACACGTACACACACACACCTCAATCCCAAATTAATTGCAGGTGTAATGAGTATTTGGTTCCAGCATTAACTCCCAGTCCCTCGTCACTAAGGAATTCTCATTGCTCAACTGAGTTAACATCGCTTGTCTTGTATCGTAAACACACCTGCCGGTAAGAGCTTCCCTAGAGTTCCTTAGTCACCAGTTCCTGAACTTAGCACTGACTGGGATGGACCAGCAGCCCCAGTTCACCTGGTTGCCATGAGAAAGAAACAGAACACAGCCCTTTGACAGAACTAACAAGGTCCTTGAGGGTTTGCTTCAGCCCTCAAATAAAAGAAAGAATGCCACATGCAGCTCTGTGCCTCCATGGAGGTAAGAAACACCTGCCATGCCTTGGGGATAACATCGACACCCCGCTCTTCTGACGTAATTGGCTGTTAACTAGATCATATCACTAATGGAGTTTCATCGTCATTATTCATGCACCTGTCTTTCTCCTGTGCAGGACTGTGAGTTTTTGTGCAGGTGGAGTTTGTCTTATTCATCTCTGTGTCCCCAGCGCCTGTCTTCTGTAGCTTTTGGTGCACACTTTGTTAGTTGGATGAATGGATGAGGAATGGATGGGTGGGTGACACATTTACTATTTGGGTCCCTATATCAGCTTTGAACTAGAGTCACAAGAAATTTTTTTAAAATAATTATTTACTCTATTCTTCTTTTTCTTTTTTTTTTTTTTTTTGAGATAGGGTGTCTGTTTGGTTCCCTGCAGGTTACACTATTTGCCAATATCTATTTAACTTGAAACAGAATCCTGTGCTCAGGGAATATTCCTGTGCTCCCCAGTATCTGTCAGTTGCCAAGCCATTAGGTGGTCCTGGTGCTGAAAATGGAGCTGGTATTTTTAGCTCTGTTCTCTTATTTGTTTCTGTTGACTTTCAGGAAGAAAAGGCAGGAATGTTGACTTTACACCATCATCTTCATAGTGGCCTGAATGTTTATGCTCCCCCCACTTCCCTCCACCCCCCGAAAGTCATGTTGATATCTAATCCCCAATCCAATAGTATTAAGAGCTGGGGGGCTTCTGGGAGTTGATTAGGTCATGGGAGCACTTAATGCCCTTATTAAAAGGCCCCATGGTGTATATGTACCACACTTAAGCCACTATCCTCAGCAAACTCACACAGGAACAGAAATCAAACAACACATGTTCCACTTACAAGTGGGAGCTGAACGATGAAAACACATGGACACAGGGAGGGGAACATCACACACTGGGGTCTGTTGGGGTATGGCGGGAGGGAGAGCATCAGGATAAATAATGCATGCAGGGCTTATTACCTAGCTGAGGGATTAATAGGTGCATCAGGCCAGCATGGCACACATTTACCTATGTAATAAACCCACATGTCCTGCACATGTACCTGGGAACTTTAAAAAAAAGCCTCCAGGGAGCTTGTTCTCCACCTTCTGCCACGTAAAAGACACAGTGAGAAGGTGCCATTTATGAACCAAAATGTGGGCCTTCACCAGACACCAAATCTGCCAGCACCTTGATCCTGGGTTTTCCAGCCTCCGGAACTGAGAGGAGTAAATGTATGTTGTTTATAAATTACCTAATTTAAGGCATTTTTTTATAGCTGCCTGAATGGACAAAGTCACCAAAACAGATGTCTTCCTCTGAGTTTCGAAGTGACAGCAGGAAGGGCTGAACCCTCATGTCTATTTCTCCAAAGATGGAGTGAGGCTCTGTCTCTGTGCTGTTATTCTGTCCTCCCGTCCATCTGAACATCTTTAGCAAATGGTTCCTCTCTCCTGCTGTTCTTCAGCCGTCCTGCTGTCCACACCCTGGCAGCCTGGAGGTGGGTCCAGCCAACCATGGGCCTGATTCCTGAGTAGGCTTCACCCCAGCCTCAGTTCCCTCCTTGGGTGAGTTGGACTGTGTGACCTGAAAAAACAGAGTCTCAAGAGCTTTTTCATTCTCTGCATTCGAAAACAGGCAATGCCCAGGGTGGTTAAAAATGTGAGCTGGGGAGTCCGATTGCCTGTGTTTGAATCCTAACTCTGCCCCTGCTGCCTGTGAGCTTTGCACAGGCCACCAGCTTTTCTCAATCCAGCTGTCACGTGAGCTGTGCGGGCTGAATTGAGTTCATGTGGACCAGCACAGTGTGAGCCACCAAGGTCAGCGGCTGAGCCTGAAGCTGACTCACACTGCTTCTTCCCAGGTACCCATACTTCACCAGGGGCAGAGAAATTTTCCAGTCCCCAAAATGAATCTCCCCAATACCTCAATAATCCATGGCTCCTCCATGCCAGATAATTTTATAATTTGTTTCTTCCACCCTGGGAAGAGAGGGGAGGGCGGAGGAAAAATGGTGCCTGGGGGGGGTCATTGTCACTCCACTTTCCTGTCTTGCCACTTAATGGGTGGTCCTTTTCCTTGTAAGTCCTTGGTGACTCACAGAGGGATGGTGAGGGGGACTGTAATGCTACCATGTATCAGCCTTCTAGAGAGCGTTATAGAGATGGTTTTGGAGACAGGCATCTCCAGGACATTTTATCCCAAAGCTTTCAGTATAAAACAGAATATAAAGATAATCCTGAAAATCCTAAAACTTTTGGAGGCATTATCAGACAGGAAGGAGTTTCTTAGACTCTAGAAAGACAGCACATGTTAGGAAAGGCACCAGACAACAAGACAGAAGACATGGGTTTCAGGATAGGCCTTGTCCATGATAATTGCAGTCTTGGCCAAGGCAGCAAAACTCCAGGAGCCTTGGCTTTCCGAACTCTAAACCACGGATAACAAGGTTCTTTTTCCCAAGTTTGGTGTGAAAATTTCATGGGGATTTTGTAAGGAAGACATTTGAAAATGATGATGTGCTATCAATATTATTATCATAAATTATGAATCATAATGGTAGGAAAAAGGGGAGTCTGAAAGTTAGATTTGTTTGGTGCTTCTCAGAATTGTCTGAGGAAAGAGGATTCTTGCTAGGTAAGTGTCACTCTCAAAGAAAAGCATATTTTACATTGTGAGCCAGGGCCCATATATCTATGTCTGTGGATATACATACAAAAAAAGGTTTCATGAAATAATACTTACCTTGAAAAAAATGGACTCTGATGTTTTGTATGCTTTTTTATTCCTCTTAAAATAAAATGCTAGTTATAAGTCTTTAAATTGAATTTTTTATTTTTTTTTGAGACGGAGTCTTACTCTGTCACCCAGGCTTGAGTGCAGTGGTGAGATCTCAACTCACTGCAATCTCTGCCTCCCAGATTCAAGCAATTCTCCCTCTTCAGCCTCCTTGGGAGTAGCTGGGACTACAGGTGCATGCCCCCATGCCTGGCTAGTTTTTGTATTTTTAGCAGAGACGGGGTTTCACCACGTTGGCCAAAATTGATTTTAAAACTACTAACAGGTCACAACTATAGCTTGAAAACTACTTGTCTAGATTAGGGGTTTGCAGACCCCTGTAAAGGACCAGAGAGCCCATCTCTTAGGCTGTGTGGATCACAGGGTCTCTGTTGTAGAAGGAAGCTGTATTCAACGCATGCATGAATGGGCATGGCTGTGTTTCAATAAAATTTCATTTACAAAAACAAGTGGCTAGTCTACAGGCCATAGTTTGCTGACCTCGGTCCAGATAAATCCAAGTTCTTCAGGTAGAAATATTCCAAAGGACTATTCAAGTGTGATGTTTGCACTTTTGTCTCTAAGTTCATTGCAAAGCTTGCTAACAACTTCAATTTGGCCTCCCGTGCCAATTCCCCCACACAGAGGGAAAGAGCTCTTCTACCAGCAGGAATCAGCAAGCCCTGGGTCTTATGACAAGTCCTTCTCCCAGTGCGAAGTAACCAACTGGCATCTGGTTTACAAATCAGTTCCTTTCCAGTTGAATTACTGTGAGTCATTGCCCAAGAGCCTGATCAGGCTTGCATGGAAAGAGAAATCATGTTTCTGAGCGTGCAAAATGAAGGACCAGACCCCAAAATATCACATCTCACAAAGTACTGCCTTTCATTCTCCACTCCCTTCCCCTGAGCCCCAGCTGAGAAAGGTCAGCCAGGTTGGCAGAGGATAAACTATGGAAACCAAAACAATCGTATGCTGGAATATGCAATTTCATTTTCAGTCAGGTCTTTGACATTGTGTGACCATGGGAGAGGTCACACACTGGTGAAGGAACACATGCTTACCTGAAATTTTCTATTATGCAATCTAGGTAGCTTTTTAGTTTCAATATTCCAAAAAAAATCTTGTTGCCATTCAAAATAAGCAGAAACCATTTATGTCCAATGTTTCTCCTGCAGCTTGTCCCAGACGAAAAGAGTACCCCCATTCAGGCTTTGTATGGTTGGTGTCTTAGGTTCCTGCAGACTTTGTTCCAACTATTAGAGTTCTTTGCCCTTAGTCTTTGGCCTTAGTTTTTTGTTTTTGTTTGTTTGTTTGTTTGTTTGTTTTTGAGACAGAGTCTCGCTCTGTCTCCCAGGCTGGAGTAAAATGGCATGATCTCAGCTCACTACAACTTCTGCCTCCTGGGTTCAAGCAATTCTCCTGCCTCAGCCTCCCAGGTAGCTGAGGTTATAGGCGCCCACCACCATGCCTGGCTAATTTTTTGTATTTGTAGTAGACAAGGGGTTTCACCATGTTTTGGTCAGGCTGGTCTCGAACTCATGACCTCAAGTGATCCACCTGCCTCAGTCTCCGAAAGTGCTGGGATTACAGGCATGAGTCACCACGCCCAGACTTTAGCCTTAGTTTTAAAAAGAATAAAACACTGGGAATAAGATGAACTTGGGTTGTTAGATTTGTGGAATGAAGGAAGCCCTTCAGGACATATAATAAACGCTGAGGATAAGCCTCGGCTTCATGTCCCCCTCCTCCCTCCATCCCCTTTGCACTTGTTGGGAAACAAAGAAAGCCTCTCCCTGCAACCAGGACTACCATTCAACCACAGCAGCAGGAATATCATGCGTGTGCACTCCCCCATGCAAAATCAGAGCTACTGTCCCACTTGAGCGTTAAAATTAGTAGAATCAAGCCTGGCGACCCCTGACATAGCCTCAACTGTGTGGGGAGAACCAATGCTTAAATGAATCCCCTTTTGTACGTTACTTAATGCCTAAAGGACACAGGGCTCATTCTGAGTTCACCAAGGGGTCAGCAAACTCTTCCATAAAGGACTACATAGTAAATAGTTTAGGTTTTGCAGTCCCAGAGGCAAAATCAAAGATATGATGTAGGCACTTAAAGAACAATTCAAAATGTAACCATTTAAAAATGTAAAAAACCATCCTTAGCTCACAGGCCCTACCAACACAGGAGGAGGGCTAGATTTGGCCCATAGGCCATAGTTAGCCAACTCCTGGTTTGGAAGGACAGAGTGCAGGAGAGGGGCATGGCAGAATTGTTCAACTGGAAAGAAAATGTGACAGATGTGGCTTTGGGGATACATGCTTTCAATGTCATTGTCCCCTTTTGCTGGGTTGTTTTGTTTTGTTTTGCTTTTTGAGACAGAGTCTTGCTCTATCACCCAGGCTGGAGTGCAGTGGCACGATCTTGGCTCACTGCAACCTCCACCTTCTGGGATCAAGCAATTCTCTTGCCTCAGCCTCCCGATTAGCTGGGATTACAGGCAGGTGCCACTACACCTGGCTAATTTTTTGTATTTTTAATAGAGACGGGGTTTCACTGTGTTAGCCAGGATGGTCTCGATCTCCTGACCTTGTGATCCACCTGCCTCGGCCTCCCCAAGTGCTGGGATTACAGGCATGAGCCACCTCGCCCGGCTTGCTGGGTTGTTTTAATGAGAGGGAATTTATGGTACTGAAGTAAAAATATTTACTAAGTTAAAAGTTAAGTGCATAAAGTATGCATGGTTAGAAGAGCTTAAAGGAAAACTGCATGCTCAAGTTTGTTGATAAATATTTTGTATGATATGTATAGAAATAAGATATTCTAATCTTTTAGGTTTAGGAGAACAAGTCTTTATTAATAAGTTGAAAACACAGGTATGGTTCTACAGACTAAAATTTCATTAAAATTCTACATTTTTGAAACTCCTGCAATGAAGTGCAAACAGAAAATATTTAGAACCTGGCCAGTAGAGCAGAAGTCACCGTGAAGATTGGACTTGGTTGTGGTGTTATGGGATCCTGAACAGAAGCTAATGGCAGCTGAAAAGAAAACCACATGTGGATAAAGTAGAAAGATCATCAGAGATGAGCTACCGATGGTCTTTTGAGTTCCATTTGAAAGTAATATTATGGAGAGGCTGGGGGAGAAAAAAAGAGTAAAGTAGTGACGAACTTGGCAGGAAAATACAAGAAGCTGAGACCATGTGAATTGGAGTATTTGGGGGACACTGAACATGCCAGGCATTTCTGCGTAGAACAGCCAAAAATCACCCAACTTCATGATTCCACGTTGTCTTACCTGTTCGGCTCATCATGTCTAGGTGACCAGAGGCAATGTAACCAGAAGAATCAAATGGGAATTTTTATTAAGGAAAGGAGCCATGGCCTTGACTTGGAAAACAGACTCAAACACCAGCGCTCAAGGGCAAGATGAGGCTCAAAGTGGAAGAATGAGCATGAAGATCGGAAGCCAGAAGAAGCAGCGATGAGTAGAGATGCCGCACACATACATGATCAGCACAGGCAGTGCAGGACAAAATCATGAACAAGATGAAAGCATGAACACCCAGATGAATATGGTGCCAGTCACAGTACAGGAATGACGCATGTTCTGCAACTTCAATGGCGCAAGGAATACTGGACCTGGATGGTTGATATAATAACATAGCCATAAAGTATAAGAAGCAGATGGGATTGCCTCAAGATGATAATTTTGATTATTCAACATTGTTATGTTCATAAATACATCTTTGTGCAACATCTTCATCACAGATGGCAGACACTTGACACATGTGCGGTCAGTGGCAGGGATTACTAATTGATCACAGTTGTTTTTTCCCCAAGGCTTGGATACAGCCTCAAAATTCTTCTCAATGTAGTCATCCAGTATGTTACAGATAGTTCGCTGTAATTGGTATATAAAGACAAACATATATGCTATCCTAATCTATAGATTATAGATATTGATATGGTTTGGCTCTTTGTCCCCATCCAAATCTCATCTTGAATTGTAATCCCCACGTGTCAAGGGAGGGACCTGCTGGGAGTTGATTGGATCATGGAGGCGGTTTTCCCCATGCTGTTCTCATGATAGTGAGTGAGTTCTCATGAGATCTGATGGTTTAAAAGTATTTGGCAGTTCCTCGCCACCCGCCTCCTGCCACCATGTGAAGAAGGTCCTTGCTTCCCCTTCGCTTTACACCATGATTATAAGTTTCCGGAGACCTCCTTAGCCATGCAGAACTGTGAGTCAATTAAAACTTTTTTCTTCATAAATTACCCAGTCTCGGGTAGTCCTTTATAGCAGTGTGAAAACAGACTGATGCAGATACAATATGTAATCTATAGATATATTTATAGATTATTCTGTGTAATCTATAGATATATTGACAGATTATTCTGTATAAACTACAGATATATAGATTTAGCTGGTAAATTTAAATTTTTAGCTCAGTATCCACCGAACTTTTATCTTAATTATCACTTTAACTGCTTATTACTTTCAGTTCAATAACCTTACTTGAGTTCTTGCTGCCAGATTCAGTTTTCAACAATTGTCCACACTACACTGAATTTGTCATCTATTGTCCCATTCATGTTAGTGACATAGACTCTGCAGGTATGAACTGTCAATCATTGTTATCTTTATTTACAATGTAAGAATTACCTTCCAACTGATATGAAGTGCTCAGGGTGAAATTGCATTCATCTCCTAAGTCAGGAATGGTATTTGAATTAATGTTAGTTTTAATTACTTAAAGGCTCATTTAAAATTTTGAATTTTGATGATATTCTTTCTTTAATTATTTTTATGACATTCACACATTCTAAGATACTCTAGATTGTCCACTGTCATTGAAATGTTTGTCACTGAGGCAACATCATCTAGTTGCTAAAATTCTTCTTAACTGAATGAAAGGTAGGGAATAAGATGTGATCTATTTCTGGCAGAGTAGCCTGTTGCAGATGAATCCTTCCACCAAGAAACTGAAATATGTGGTCCAGATTTTTTTCAAAAGTTCTATTTGAAGGCACTGGGGAGCCATAAAAGCAGTAGAAAGGAGAATACTGATGTGAGCCCAACATTCTAGAATTTTTCCTCTTGAGGTATCTGCCAATTCTGAAACAACTCAGGGCCAAGTGACTAGGAAGCAGGGTACAAAGTGGAGTCTAAGAGTCTGAGAGTCTGAACAAAGATTTTTGTAACCCGCAGAGCTGGGGAGACAAACATTAAAGATTAGAGCTCAGCAAATAATAGAAGCCCTGGTAAACTCCCTAGACCTCTAGTTAGAACCAATAGGAAGGATAAACTCTATGAATAAAGATGAGCTGGAAATAAACCATTCCTCGCAAAAACTGAAACCAGTATTCAAACCACTCAACCCAAACTAAAGGAGATATGACCCTATTCTAACTGACTGTCAGAAAGAAAAAAATTAATCCTCCATGGAGGAAGATGTCAGGCAGAGTCTCAGATGATCTAAGTCATTTTCCATAAATAATATTTGACTCTCAATAAAGAAATTACCAGGCATGTTAGGAGTTAGGGAAAGTGACTAAAAATCAAGTTTAAAAGAAAACAGGAAAAAAGACAAGTAGAGAATTACATGAGAATTTGATATTTTAAAGGGTCTAATGAAAATTCTAGAACTGAAAATGTATTATAAAAGTAAGGGCTCACTAGGTGAATTGAGCAACAGACTAGACACAGGAGAAAAAAGGATTAATAAACTGGAAAAACAGGTTGATTAAAAATAGCCAGACTATGGATGAAGACAAAAAAAGCATGTAAATACATAAAAGATCATATAGAATATATGGTATACCTTTAAAAGATCGAATATTTAGATAATTGGTACACCAGAAGAGAATGAGAAAAAGTATGGAGCAGAAGCAATATTTGAAGAGATGATAACTGAGAAAGAACATCAGAAAACTGAAAAAGGGCACAAAATTAAAAATTCAAAAATGTATTTGAAATATACATAGAGTTAAAATAACTATTTACAAAGAAAACTCTGAGATCAGATGGCTTCCAGACCAGATAGACTAGATTATCTTTAATGACTCTCCTAGCCTTAAAATTGTAACTATAAATAATGGATGTATTTCCTTCATACATGATAAAGCAGAGAAGAGCTGTTTCTCCTGTGCCCTGCCTAAATTCTCAACCCACAAAATTATGATTATTATAAACTGGTTGTTGTTTTACACACAAATGCATACACAACCTTCCAAAGAAAATTTCAAGACAAGATGACTCCACTGGTGCATTATTTAAAATATTAAGGGAAGTATAACGGCCTTCAGAAAACAGAGAATGAAGACTTTCTAACTAGTATTAGGAGGCCAACATAACCTTGGTTCCCAAAACTGACAAGGTATTATAAGAAATGAAAATTCAAGGCTGGGCGCGGTGGCTCATGCCTGTAATCCCAACACTTTGGGAGGCAGAGGTGGGTGGATCACAAGGTCAGGAGATTGAGACCATCCTGGCTAATACGGTGAAACCCCATCTCTATTAAAAATACAAAAAAAATTAGCTGGGCATGGTGGCAGGTGCCTGTAGTCCCAGCTACTCGGGAGGCTGAAGCAGGAGAATGGTGTGAACCTGGGAGGCAGAGCTTGCAGTGAGTAGAGATCACACCACTGCACTCCAGCCTGGGCAACAGAGCAAGTGTCCGTCTCAAAAAAAAAAAAAAAGAAATGAAATGAAAATTCCAGGTGAATTCCTCTTAGGAACATAGATCAAAATGATCTTAAATTGCAAACCAAGATCAAGGATATACTAAAAAGATAATACTTTGGTACCAATCTTAAGCTTATCTTAGGAATTCAAGATTGGTTTAAGATTCAGAACTTAATTCATCACATTAATAGAATAAAGAAGAAAAAGTAAAGGAGAAAAACTAAATAACTATCTTTATAGATGAAGGATAAAGTATGACAAAATTAACCGTGATTGATGATTTTTTAAAAAAATCTCCTAGAACCAGGCATTAAAGGGAATCTCCTTAATCTGACAAAGGGTGTCTACAAAGCACCAACAACAAATACCATACTTAATCATCAACTATTACAATTTTCAGCAGAGATCAGGAGCAAGACTGTGATGCCTGCTGTCTTAGTGTTTTGTGTTGCTAAAACAGAATACCTGAGACTAGGCAATTGATAAAACATAGAAATTCATTTCCTCACAGTTCTGGAGGCTGGGAAATCCAAGATCAATTTGCCAGCATCTGGTGAGGGCCTTCTTGCTGTGTCATCCCATGGCGGAAGACAAGGGGCAATAGAGAGAACAAGAACAAGCCATATTCATTCTTTTATAAGGAACCCGCTCCTGTGATAAAAATATTAATTCATTCATGAGAGAAGTGCTCACATAACCCAAACAACTCCCATTAGGACCCACTTCCAAACACTACATCATTAGGGAACAAGTTTTTAACACATGAACTTTGGGGAACACATCCAACCATTGCACCTGAGCTCTCCAGGCCTATTCAGCATTGTATTAGAGGCTGTGACCATGGTAATACATCACTAAATAAAAAATATATAGTCATATATATATATATAATAAATGTACATGGATTAGAAAAAATGAAATAGAAATTAAGCTGCTGTTATTCACAGACAACATGATTGTACACATAGTAAAAATGACAATTAGAATTAGTTAATGAATTTAGCAAAGTTGTTGGATACAAGGGCAGTATCATGAATAAACTGCAACACAAACCAGCAACAATTAAAAATGAATTAAACAAATGAAACTATGTAGAAGAGTGTCAAAAAATTCGAACAACTAAACATAATGAATATGAAAGACTTCTACAAATAAACATATATAACAGTATAAGAAGGATGTAAAGAAGACATAAATAAGTGGAGGACACTTATTTAGGCACATGATACATGGATTGGAATGTAAATTTGTTGATTTTTCCAAGTTGACCTAAATTCCTGCCAAGATATCTTTTTGTGTGTGTGTGGGTGCGTGGAAATTGACATCCTGAATTTTGAAATTTGTATGGAAATACAAATATAAAGAGTAGTTAGGATAAATTTGAAATACTTCTACCATCAAATATCAATACTTATTATAAAGGCACTGTAATTAATATATTAATTAGTAAATTAGTACAAGGATAGACAAGTAGACTAATGGAACAGAATGGGAGTCCAGGGATAGATCCATACATATATGGACACTTGATTTATGACAGAGGTGATACTACACAGCAGAGGAAAAAATGAATGTGTTGACAATCAGTGATGCTGTGTCAACTGGATATTCAGGTGCAAAAACAAAACAAAATAAAACAAAACTTAAACCTTCCTTTAACACACATACAAAATCCAATTGTATTTATTTATTTATTTATTTATTTATTGAGACAAGGTCTTGCTCTGTCACCCAGGCCAGAATGCAGTGACACAATCACAACTCGCTGCAGCTTCAACCTCCTAGGCTCAAGGATCCTCCTGCCTCAGCCCCCCGAGTAGTTGGGACTACAGGCATGCGCCACCATGCCCAGTTAATTTTTTATATTTTTTGTAGAGACAGGGTTCCACTTTGTTGCCCAGGCTAGTCTTGAACTCCTGGGCTTAAATGATCCTCCCACCTCAGCCTCCCGAAGTGCTGGGATTATAGGCATGAGCCACCATGCTCAGCTCCAAAATTTCGTTTTAAATGGCTTATAGAAGATATAGGAGAATATCTCTTCAAAGTTATTCATTTTGGCAAATATTTCTTATAAATGACAAAGTAGATACACTGGACACTATTGGGAGAATGGAATGTCAAGCCACAGAATTGGAGAATGTATTTTAATCTGTTTTACCAACAAAAGATTCATATTCAAAATATATAAAGAGTAAATAAATAAGGAAAAGATAGACAATTCAATATAAAATTGGACAAAAGATTTGAACAGATGCTTTCTAAAACATATGATAATCACCAGGAAAATGCAAACTAAAGCCATAATAAGATACCACTTACACACTTAGAAGAATATGTAAAATTAAAAGGATTGACCAGACCAAGTATTGGTCAATTATGGAGAAACTGTAACCTTCACACCCTCCCAGTAAGAGTGTAAATTGGTGAAAGTACTTTGCGAAAGTATTTGGCAGTACCTGCTAAAGCTGAACATACTCATACTTTGTGACCCAGCAGTTCTGTTCCTCAGGATAGATATATCCAACAGAAATGCATACATACGGGGCGAGGGGAGGGAGAGTATTAGAAAAAATAGCTAATGCACGCTGGACTTAATATCTAGGTGATGGGTTGATAGGTGCAGCAAACCACTGTGGCACATGTTTAGCCATGTAACAAACCTGCACATCCTACACATGTACCCCGGAACTAAAAATAAAAATTAAAAGAAAAAAATGTATAACATAGGTTCACCAGTAATAGCCATGTTGAAGAATGCTCACAGCATCTTTATTTATAATAGCCAAAAATTAGAAATGATCCAAATGTCGATTGATAGTAGAATGAATAAATAAATAAAATATTTTATAGCGACAAGATAAATGAGTCTCTTCTATGTGCAAAATGTGAATAAATCTCATGAAAATAATATCGAGCAAGAGAACTACATGATTTCATTTATATGAAGTTCAAAACTAGACAAAGCTAATTTACAGTACTGGAAATCAGGAAAGAGGTGACGTTAGCAGAAAAGTACTGTAGGGACTTTAAATACAGTGACCTCCCATCCTAGTTTTCTTTCTTTCTTTTTTTTTTTTTTAATCATACTTTAAGCTCTGGGATACATGTGCAGGACGTGCAGGTTTTTTACATAGGTACACACGTCCCATGGTGTTTCGCTGCACCCATCAACCCATCACCTACATTAGGTATTTCTCCTAATGCTATCCCTCCCCTAGCCCCCAACCCACCAACAGGCCCCAGTGTGTGATGTTCCCCTCCCTGTGTCCGTGTGTTCTCATTGTTCAACTCCCACTTATGAGTGAGAACATGCCGTGTTTGGTTTTCTGTTCCTGTGTTAGTTTGCTGAGGATGATGGTTTCCAACTTCATCATGTCCCTGCAAAGGACATAAACTCATCCTTTTCTTATGGCTGCATAGTATTCTATGGTAAATATATGCCACATTTTATTTATCCAATCTATCATTGATGGGCATTTGGGTTGGTTCTAAATCTTTGCTATTGTGAATAGCACTGCAATAAACATATGTATGCATGTGTCTTTATGGTAGAATGATTTACAATCCTTTGGGTATCTACCCAGTAATGGGATTGCTGGGTCAAATGGTATTTCTGGTTCTAGATCCTTGAGGAATTGCCACACTGTCTTCCACAATGTGTGAACTAATTTATCCTCCCACCAACAGTGTAAAAGCGTTCCATTTTCTCCACATCCTCTCCAGCATCTGTTGTTTCCTGACTTCTTAATGATCACCATCCTAACTGGCATGAGATGGTATCTCACTGTGGTTTTGACCACAGCCAATATCATACTGAATGGGCAAAAGCTGGAAGCATTCCCTTTGAAAACCGGCACAAGACAAGGATGCCCTCTCTCACCACTCCATCCTAGTTTTCTAATAACTGAAGAGTTAACAAGGACAAGGGATTGCAGTGTTAAAACTGAGTTAATACTAAACAAACTGAGGTGGTTGGCTTCCCTAACTGGCAGGGTCGCGGGGTCTGTTGGGGTGGTGATGGTTACATCTGGGTGATGGTTACATGGCAATCACTTTGTGATATGCCATCTGTGATAAACTACTGTGACATGTTGTTCTTTTCTTTCAAATATGCTTCTGTAATAGATTTATTAAGCAGCTCAACCTACCTGGCATTTATTGATAAATGTAGAATAATGTAGGGGTATATGGGAAACTACTTATGCTCAAATAATTTATTGATTAACATGTGCTTTTTCTGCTGATTAAGAAGGCAAATTGTCATCAAAGTGACACTTATCACTACTTTGCATTCAATTGGCATCTTCTCCCAGGGAGGTACTCCTCCAGGGGCTGTGAATATAAAAGTGAACAATAATCCTATCTTCAGGTAGCTTTCATTCTAGTGGCAGGGACAAGCTATAAGCAAATAAAGACATGTATTATATAACATTCTGTTGGGTAGTGATATGTGTAACAAATAAGAATAAAGAGGTCAACATAGTAATGAGACTGACGTTTAGGAAAGGGTGGTCAGACAAGACCACCTTCAATGAAGGTGAGATTTCAGTAAAGACCTGCATCACCTCAGGTAACAGGAAAATACCTTGGGAAATGAGGAAAGAAAAATTCCAGAAGAAGCAATGAGTATAAAGTTTCTGAGATGAGAGCACAAGTGCTCCATCCCTCATGAGCACATATCACAAGTGAAACTATTCATTTAAAGTTTTCCTTTCCCACCATCCACTAGTAGCTCCACTGAGACAGGGACTGTACCTGTCTTGTTCACCAACGTTTTGTGAGCACCACTATCATGAACGGAGCATAAATTTGTTCAATAAGGATTTTTTATAAAAAGTAAACTCAAAAACTCATTTTAATATATGCTTTGATTTGTTTCTAGGCCATCTCTTCTGCCCCTGGAATTGATCTGTTCATTTGTGCATCAGTCCTACACCGTTTGAATTACTGTGGCTTTACAGTTTGTCCTGACAACTGGCAGCAAAGTCACAGGAGGCATAATTCTAGCAGTGGGCTATGCCCGGAGACACAACTGTTAAATAAAAATAGACAGACGGTGTCATTGTCCTCGTGAGGGTCAAACCCTTGTAGGATTGTGGAGGTGAAAAAGCTTAATTTCAAAGAATAAATTGGCAGTTTAGTCTATATCTGATGAGTAAATGCATAAAAGCAGAAAATGAGTAGAATTCTTTGTAAGGGTGGATAAACAGGTTTGCAGGTCAGACGCTGGCAAATCCCCAAGATGAGGCTCAAGGTTTTTATCTGAGACTAGCTTCTTGAGAGCCATTGTGGGTTCTAAAAAGGGCGTGCTATTTCCAGTCTCGATACCAAGTGGTGAGTGTTAGCATCTGTGACACAGAGCCCAGAATAAACACCTACTGAGATTGTATGACCAGTGTGATGCACGGTGTGACCTGTTCATCTGATCCTCCTGCAGTAGCAGCAACAAACAGCTCAGATCATTCCTCTGTGCCCTTGCTTTGAACCAGTGCCGACCCAGGACCCAAGGTTTAAGTGTGGATTTAAAAATTTAAACAGCTATCTGACACGGTTCAGAGGCAATAACCCAGGTATGCCCCCATCGGCTGGGGCTTGCTTCCCCACCGCCCCAATGTGGATAATGTTGCTGGCTGCCTCAGATTTTGGGGGTGACATGGCAGGAGGTGAAAATGTCACTGTTTTTTGGTCAAGAGAGGATATCAAGGCAGGTTTAGAAAGTTCGTTAGCCCCAGTGTGCAGCAGAGCAATAAGACATGTATTGTCTTTGCACCTCAGTTGCAAATATTTCCAATAGTTTGTGTTTATGTTGCATTCTCTCACCACAAGCTTCCAATTCAGGGGATAAAACTAGGCCTTTCATAGTCAACTTTTTGGTGTAAATCTCAATTCTAACTGAATTTCTATAGCCCAAATCATGCCCTATATGAGCTCAGTAGACTGTTTAAATAAATGAAATTGCTTTATAATGCAAATAACTACCCAATTTTGTACATTTTATTTTTCAAAGTTTTGCTTTTTTAAAGCAAGATATAACTGTGGATGGCCTTCCTGCAGAGGGACGGGCATGTGCAGTGTCTTAGCTGAAGTCTTAGGAAGGCGGGAGGGAAGCATAGCCTGTTTCTGGATTTGTCAGCATGCTGTGAGCCTAGTGTGCTCTCATCATCTGAGCCTCATTAGCATCTTCATCCATTTGCGTTCAGATTCTCTTCTTGCCCAGAGATGGGATTTCTCCCAGGGCTTTGGGATGAGAAATCATCCCTGGCACCTTCCTAGATTCTCTGTCTTCCTCCTGGAAGAAATAAAACCAGCATGGATAAGTGTTTTGGTGCCGCAGCCAGCACTCCCAGCATGCTGTGGGGTCTCAGCCTCCCCCACCCGAGCTGGTTGCTTGACTCACTACTGTCAGGTACCAGATTGTGACCTTCTAGAGGGCAAGGAGACTACAGTGGTGGATGAAATGAATCAACGATGAATAAGGGAACCACAAGAAGTCGTGGGATCCGGTGAAGGCAGTGTGACAATGGAGTGAAGCTTCTGGGCTTAGAAATGATGGACCTCATTCAAGTCCTGTCATTCACAGCCGTTTGACATTTGCTAGTTACTTTGTCCCCTCTGTCTCCCTTTCTTCCTCTGTATAGAGAGGCCTAATACTTCCTCCACAGGAGGGTTGCGAACATTGCACGGGATAGCATCAAATCCACAGCACCTTGACCCGCCAGCCCATTAATGAGAAAACCCACCCCTGAGAACTGTTTGTGCCTCAAGCCAGAAGACACCATGGCAACTGGCCTGCTCTCTTCTCTGAGGATTATCAAGACCCCTGCCTTTATCATGTTAGGTAGGCTCAAAGAATGAAGAGCAATGAAGAAAAATGTCTCACCTGTGCATCTTAACAAAAAAGTCTTCAGCACTCATACATCACTGAGCTTTCTGTTTACTGCCCTGTTTCTCAGACAGGCTCTGATCTTTCCAGTGAATCACTGCCTCCTAGCCCAGAGCTCAGTCCTGTTGTTAACAGTCTGTTCACTGCCTTAAAAACGAACTAACAAAATAATAGTTAATAAACTAACTTCAATCCATATGCTCATTGATTAAAGTACACCCAAAAAGGAGAATAAATTATAAGCGTAAAGCTCAATGAATTGTATCTTCCACTCCTTATTAATCCCATTGCTTCTAGCATTTATTCTTATTGTTGCGGGGCAGGAATAATCAATTATCTATCTATAGGTTTCACCTATGCTTCCAGTGTTGAGATTCCAGCATAAGGAGGAAAGAGTGTTTAACAAAAGTGGTAAGAAGTATGTGACAGCCGAAGTGATCAGGAGCTGGGAACTCTGCTAAATAGGAAGAGACAAGAGGAAAGCAGACTAAAGCAAGTTAATTCGTGTCTATGGAGTCTCCCAAGTTCCAAGCATTAAATGCAGTAGAGGATAAAGATTTAGAAAGAGACTAGAAATCAAGTTGAAAGACAAAGGACAGAAGGAAGTTCTGTAGATACTCATCTTGACCAAGTGACTGATGGAAGAATAGGATTATTATCTGAGATGATTGTCATTGTCTTTATTCTGAAAGTTTAATGACAGTTAAAATGTCATTTGTGGTTGTGAATCAAACCTAGAACACACTAGAATTTAGCTTTTCTTTGGAATCTAATCACAAATGCAAAATGACTAGGCTGATGGCAGTGGAATTCACCCCTATATGGTCTCATTTTTGAGAAGGGGCAGACATATAAGAAGAGAACTAGAAAAAAAAAAACAAAAAAAAACCTGCTATTAGCCAGATGCAAGAGGTCCCAGGAAATTCTTGTCAGGAATTCAAAGAGAGACTTAGGCATTTTCAGGCCATACTTGGGGATGAGGAGAGCAGTGATTTCCAACCTCCTTGGAGAATAACATCTTGTACCTATCACCTGGGTCTTTTCACTCAGATCTCAGGAGATGTCCTGGGGCCCTCAGTACCCTATATTCAATAAATCCCCAACTCACTCATGCAGTGATAAACAGACATGGGGAAACCATCATTTTCCTGGACCTGAGAGGAGAATCTGTGGGAAGCCCAACTCCTCTATTACACACTACCTGGATGAGAGAGAAGATTTCAACCATAATATGATCCTACTTTTCTATTTTATTGAGCTCTTAAGGGGTTAAAATTTCACCTCTTCTTACCACCCAAGTTTAGAACCCGCTAAAAGAGAGACAAAAGGCAGAGAAACAAGAAAGTTTAAAAATTTTTCTTTGTTATTGATAAAGACCCAATGAATGGGCACAGCTTAGATGGAAAATGGTAAGATGTTCCTAAAACTGCATCCCCACCATGAATCAGAAATACCCACCCAGCTGTAGGTAGCAATAGAAAACATCAGGTCTCCCCATCGAAAGAAGCAGTCTTGACTGCTAAACTAACCATTTGGCAGACAGCAAACTAAAGCACAGGTTTCCTCTCAGAAGAAAAGAGGAAGGAAGGAAGGAGGGAAGGAAGGAAGGGAAGGAAGGAAGGAAGGAAGGAAGGAAGGAAGGAAGGAAGGAAGGAAGGAAGGGAGGGAGAAAGGGAGGGAGGGAGGGAGGGAGAAAGGGAGGGAGGGAGGGTCCTTTCTCTCAAATGCGCTTCTCAGAAAAAGCCACTCCCCTTCTTTCAGGGATAAGTAAGCCAGAAAGACGAGAGAGGCCAGGAGCATTTCTCTAGTGGAAATTCCTCCACACGGAGGGAAACATTAGGAGTGGGATATAATAGTCCCCTATAATAGATTTTTATGTATGTATGTATGTATGTATGTATGTATTTATTTATTTATTTATTTATTTATTTTTGAGATGGAGTCTCGCTCTGTCACCAGGCTGGAGTGCAGTGGCGCGATCCCGGCTCACTGCAAGCTTCCCCTCCCGGGTTCACGCCATTCTCCTGCCTCAGCCTCCGGAGTAGCTGAGACTACAGGCGCCCGCCACCGCGCCCGGCTAATTTTTTGTATTTTTAGTAGAGACGGGGTTTCACCGTGTTAGCCAAGATGGTCTCGATCTCCTGACCTCGTGATCCGCCCACCTCGGCCTCCCAAAGTGCTGGGATTACAGGCGTGAGCCACCGCGCCCGACCATATTTTCTTCCCATTTATTTGACTTCGTTCTTCTAAAGGGAAGGATCTACTTCTTTTCCTTCTTTCTGCTGTGCTTGAAACGCTGGATTAGAGTATGCACTGTCACACCAATGTTGATAATTAAGGGATTTCCATATGTGCCCGGGAATGGCAAATGGCCTGAGAAGTGAGGAGAATACCACACACAGAATTCCCCAGCACTGTGGAATTCCCCAGCACTGCTGGCAGTAGGTCTTAGGTCCTTCACAGAAGCGCAAGGGAACTCTTTCAGAGGAATGTCTCCTTACAGGGATCACCAAATCATCTGAAGAGTGGCTGGCTGGGGGAACAAGGGTAGCAGAGAAGAATGAAGGAAGCTGGTTGAAGGAGCAAGGAGGATGTAAGAGAATAGATGTGTTTCTAAGTCCACATCTAGATTTGAGCATGTAAGTGGGATATTTGACATTGATTCGTTCAACAAATATTTGCCAAGCCCCTGTGAGAGCCAGCTTCTACTGAGGACTCAGTGGTGAACATGATCCAGTCCCTGTCCTCAAGGACTTTTCATTTTGGTTTGGATGGCAGCAAAAAATAGAAAATAAAAATAACAAATAAAGAAAGAACATGCTATTACTACAAGTAGTGACGTGTGCTATGAAAGAGAATAAAGCTGGGCGAGAGGACAGAGAGTGGTGTAGTTGTTGGGGCATGCATATTCTAGGTAGGGGCCCCTAGGTGGAGGAATCAACCAGCAGCCATGGATTGGCACATGCCATTCAGTCTTGTCTCCCATCCCATCCAATGAGAAAATCTCAGCGCCGGATTCCCTGAAACACCTTCCCAGCATGAGTGTGAATATGTCAAAGAACAGAGAGTTTTCTAGGTTTTCACAGAAGCTGTTTCACTGCTGGACAGTTCTAAACATGTAATAAATGTTTTTCTTGAGCTAAAATCAACAAGTTGAAGTCCATATGCCAATTCTCATTTTGGTTTCTGGAACAACGCAGAATAAGGCCTCTTCCTCTTCCGTGTGCTGATAATAACAGCTGTTGTTGATTGAGAATGACTCTCTACATGGAGCCGCGCTTTCCAATATAGGCGAGCTCCGTAACCGCAGCAAGCATCAGTCTCTTCATTGGTAAATCAAGAGTAGCAGTGCTTGCTTCCCTGGGTTGTAATGAGGATTAAATTAGGTAATGCTTATATACACAGGAACTGAACCACATATTGACATAGCTGATCTCAAATGATACCCAAGAGTCCTGAGCAAACTCTTCAGTGTTGGCTTCCTATCAGGTTCTTTGCATATTAACTTGTTTATCCAACACTTACTGAGCCCTGATGAGTGTCAGGCAGTGTTTCCAAAGCAGAGGATACAAAGATGAATCTGACATAGTATGTGCTTTTGGGAATGGCAAGGTCTAACGGGAGGGACAGGAGAGTAAACAAATAATTACAGTTCAGCATAGAAAGTGCTATAATGAAGTGCTACAGAACTCAGAGCTTGGAGACACCAGCTCTGCCCAGGAAGAAGAGGCACTGCAAAGGTTTTGTAGAGGAGCTAATGCTTGATCTGAGTCCTGAAGATGGCCAGGATTTCCCAGGCAGATAATGAGAAAAGAGCTAGAAAGAGATGTAACAAAAAGCATCCCTAAAAAAAAAAAAAAAAAAAAAAAGGATGGCATTCAACCACTCAACAGAGTCTCCTTTTTTTTTTTCCCTGAAGTAAGATTAATATTGGAATTCTGACTATTTTTGTCATCTTTATTACCAAAAGATAATTAAAAAGAAAGAATTGTTTAAAGGGTTTTAGGTGGGTGCATTAATTTTTTTCTTACCTAATTTGCTTATCATAAATTGGAATGAAATGGAAAATATTTGGAATTTTTTAAAATGCAATTATTGTATACCTTAATATTCGATGCATAAAAATAATGCCATGTTGGTATGATGTTTTGGTTTTTCCAAAACTAAGAACCAAAATACAACAATTAAAAAATGTTATATTTAATGGGAAGACCAAGTATAGTGGTTTGAAGAAAAACATTTCCACCACATGGTATACTGCAAGAACAGCTTCGTTAATTTAAACGAAACATAGAATTTCTTATCAGGTGCTTGTATTTCCTACAATTCATTAAAATAATTGCATGATTGCTTTTTAAAAATTCCCTTATCTGAGCACAACAGAACATTCTTGTAACCTACCTAAGAACAATTTCTTAGAAAAAAGATAAGAGAATTCAATAAGATGTAATATCCTACAATGGTCATAAGGTGATCCCATAGAAATAATAGCAGAATACAAAGGTAACTATCAATCTGGATCTCTTAAATTTCCTTTCAGCTCAGTGATTAACAATACATCACCCAAATCCTGTTAACTAAACAGGATTAATTAACAATCCTCTGAGTGTTTCAAGGGTCCGGCTGATGGTTTTTCCTGTGACTTCCTATAGACTGTAAAGTCCATAAACACAGGAACCATGACTGTCACTCTCAGTTTATTCCCAGAACCTAGCATAGTGGCGTTCCACCCACACAGTAGGAGCCGAATAAACACTTACTGAGTGAATGAATAATATCATCAATTTTATATATTTGTAGCTTCAGGAACATTTAAAAAAGGCAGCCTACAAATACGGTACTGAGGACCAGTGGAGTCACAGCTTTCAGAGTAGACCAGAAATAATCAAGAACTCACCAGTCAATACATATATCACCAATATAGTTCATCAAATGAAGATCTATTTGAGTCAGGAGCTTCTGTTGAAATTTAAAAACACTCTTAGAGATACAGATATACTGGTCACACTTTAATGCCATTTGCTTTAATCTTACACTCAACAATAATTATTCAGACTGATATCTGAAATATAATTTTTTCACAAGTGTATGGATAAAGGTTATCTTTTCTTTTTTTTTCTTTTTCTTTCTTTCTTTTTTTTTTTTTTGACGAAGTAGCGCTCTGTTACCCAGTCGGGAGTGCAATGGCCCAATCTCGGCTTACTGCAACCTCTGCCTCCCAGGTTCAAGCGATTCTCCAGCCTCAGTCTCCCGAGTAGCTGGGACTACAGGCGCGTGCCATCACACCTGGCTAATTTTTCTAGTTTTAGTTATCTACTAATTAGTTATCTACTAATTTTAGTAGATAACTAAAAATACAAAAATTAGCTAGGCATGGTGACAAGCACCTGTAATCCCAGCTATTCTGGAGGCTGAGGCAGGAGAATCGCTTGAACCCGGAAGGCAGAGGTTGCAGTGAGCCAAGATCACGCATTGCACTCCAGCCTGGGCGATAAGAGTGAGACTCTGTCTCAAAAACAAACAAACAAGCAACACAAAAAAAAGTAATGCAAAACCTAATACTACAGAGCAGTCTATCCAGTCCAGCCAAACAAGGCCTGCCCTCGCCGGAAACTAGTTAACCACAGTCTAACTTGCTGATGTTTTATCAGAGCTTAACTGAGTTGGGGAAAGGGACATACTAGCAATCCTGTCCCAAATAAAGGAGATGGGGCTGGGGGAGGAACTGAGGAGCACTTGAGGTTCACAGCCCAGGGGCACAGGCCCATTGAAAGACTCAGACCTAATCACAGGACTGTAAAATGCTCCCCCAATACCTTACCACCATGTTATGAAGGCCTATTTCTAGCAGTTCTCTTTACCCAGTACATCCTGTCCAGCTATCCAGATAACAGTACAAGGCATACTAAAAGGCAAAAAACACAGTTTGAAGAGACAGAGCAAGCAAGAGAACTAGACATGGCAAGATGTAGGAATTAGCAGACAGAAATTTAAGACAATTATGATTAGTGTGCTAGAGGGTGTAATGGATAAAGTAGGCTGAATGCAGGAACACATGGACAAGGTAAGCAAAGAGACAGAAATCGTAAGAAAGAAACAAAAAGAAATGCTAGAGATATAAGACACTGTAACAGAAATGAAGAACACCTTTGAGGAGCTAATTAGGAGACTGGACATGGCTGAGAAAAGAATTTCTAAACTTGAGGATATATCAATAGAAACCTCCAAAACTGAAAAGGAAAGAGAAGGAAGACTGGAAAAACAGAATAGAAGATTCAAGAACTGTGGGACAATTTCAAAAAATGTAAATATGCAGAATGGGAATACCAGAAGGAGAAAAAAGAGAAAAAGGAATAGAAGAAATATTTGAAACAATAATGACTGAGAATTTTCCCCAAGTTAGTATCAGACACCAAACCACAGAGCCAGGAAGCTCAGAGAACACCAAGCAGAATAAATTTCAAAAAAAATTACACCCAGGCAAATCATTTTCAAACCATAGAAATTCAAAAGTAAAGAAAAAGTCTTAAAAGAAGCGAGAAGAAAAAAATACTTTACTTATACAGAAGCAAAAATAAGAATTACATCTGACTTTTCCCAGAAACCACACAAACAAAAAGGGAACGAAGTGGAATATTTAAAGTGCATTGAGAAAAAAAAAACCAAAACAGCAACCTAGAATTCTGTGACCCGCAAAATTAACCTTCAAAAGTGAAGAAAAAAGAAAGACTTTCTCAGACAAAAAACTTGAGGGAATTCATTGCCAGGAGACCTGCCTTGCAAAAAATGTTAAAAGAAGATCTTTAGAGAGAAGGAAAATAATATGGGTCAGAAGTTTGGATCTACATTTAAAAAAAGGAATAGCATCATCAAAGAAGGAATACACGAAGCTAAAATAAAAACTTTTTTCTTTTATTCTTAACAGATCTAACAGATAACAGTTTGATCTAAATATTAATGCAACAATGTATTTGATTTTGTGTGGTTACTTGTACAGATAGTCATGATTTTTCAGCATCATAATGGATTTATCAGGTTATTAAATGCAAAGTGATGAGTCTACTGGAACATAACTCCCTTGTAAGTTGAGGAGCATCTATATACCTTGTGTGTGTGTGTCTGTGTGTGTGTGTGTGTGTGTGTGTGTATACATATATGTACATATATATATATATGTTTATGCATGCTTATGTATAAGTGAAATGAATAACAGTAATAATACCAAGGATAAGAGGAAGGAATTGAGGTTAGGTTTTTACTATACAGTATTCACACTGCCCATAAAAGTTGCACAGTGTTATTTGAAAGTAGGCTTGGATTAGTTGTAAGTATTTATTGTAAACTCTAAGAGCCATTAAAGGAAAATCATTTTTTAAAAAGTATACTTAATATGCTAAGAAAAGAGAGAAAATAGAATGATATAAAATGCTCAATTAAAACCAAAAAGGCAGAAAAAGAATGGAAGACAAAAAAAAAAAGGAAAAAATGACAGGGCAACAAATAGAAAACAGGAACAAATATGGTGGGTGTGAATCCAACTATATCAATAATCACTTTGAATATCAATGGTCTCAATGTACCAATTAAAAGACAGAGATTGTCAGAGTGGATCAAAAACCAAGACTCAACTATAAATGTTAGCTACAAGAAACCCACTTTAAATGTAAAAACTCATATAGATTAAAAGTAAATGTATGAAGAAAGATATACCATGCTAACACTAATCAAGAGAAAGCAGAAGTACCTATGTTAATTTCAGACAAAGCAGACTTCAAAACAAAAAAAGATATCAGGGATAAAGACACCCTTCACAAAAATTAACTCAAAATGAATCACAGACCTAAATGTAAAATGCAAAACTAAAGCTTCTAGAAAATAATACACGAGAAAATCTAAATGACCTCTGCGTTGGCAATGACTTTTCAAATATAACACCAAAAGCACAGTCCATGAAAAAAAGAGTAAGCTGGACTTTTTTTTTTTTTTTTTTTTTTTTTTTTGAAACAGTCTCACTCTGTGGCCAGGTTGCAGTGCAGTGGCACGATCTCAGCTCACTGCAACCTCCACCTCCCGGGTTCAGGCGATTCCCCTGCCTCAGCCTCCTGAGTAGCTGGGACTACGGACACGCGCCATCATGCCTGGCTAATTTTTTGTATTTTAATAAAGACAGGATTTCACCACATTGTCCAGGATGGTCTCGTTCTCCTGACTTCGTGATCCACCCTCTTCAGCCTCCCAAAGTGCTGGGATTACAGGCGTGAGCCACCACGCCCAGCCTGGACTTCTTTAAAATTAAAATTTTTTCTCTGCAAAAGACAGTTCAAGAGAATGAAAAGACAAGCCACAGAATGAGTAAAAATATTTGCAAAAGACATATCTGAAAAAATATACAAATAACTCTTTTTTTTTTTTTTTTTTTTGAGATGGATTCTCACTCTGTCGCCCAGGCTGGAGTGCAGTGGTGCAATCTCAGCTCACTGCAACCTCTGCCTCCCAGGTTCAAGCAATTCTCCTGCCTCAGCCTCCTGTGTAGCTGGGACTACAGGCACATACCACCATGCCCAGCTAATTTTTGTATGTTTAGTAGAGACAAGGTTTCACCATCTTGGTCAGGCTGGTCTCAAACTCCTGACCTCAGGTGATCCACCTGCCTCAGCCTCTGAAAGTGCTGGGATTACAGGCATGAGCCACCATGACCAACCCAAAGAACTCTTAAGACTCAACGATAAAAAACCAAGCAACCCAATTTTAAAAATGGGTCAAAGAGCTTAACAAACACCTCACCAAAGAAGATATACAGATGACAAATAACCATGACAAAAGATGCTTCACATCATATGTCATCAGAAAAATCCAAATAAGAACAACAATGAGAAACCACTACATACCTATTAGAATGGCCAAAGTCCAGAACACTGACAAGACCAAATGCTGACAAGGATGTGGAATGACAGGAACTTTCATTTATTGCTGGTGGAAATGCAAAACGGTCCAGCTTTTGGAAAACATTTGGCAGTTTCTTGCAAAATGAGTAATATCCTGCCACATGCAGTGGCTCATGCCTGTAATCCCAGCACTTTAGAAGGCCAAGGCAGGCAGATTGCTTGAGCTCAGGGGTTCAAGACCACCCTGGGCAACATAGTGAAACCTCACCTCTACAAACAATACAAAAATTAGCCAGGTGTGGTGGCATGCACCTGTAGTCCAAGGTACTTGGGAGGGTGAGGCAGGAGGATCACTTGAGCCTGGGAGGTTGAAGCTGCAGTGAGCTGAGAGTATGCCAGAGCATCCCAGCCTGGGCAACAGACTGAGACCTGGTCTCAGGAAAAACAATAACAACAACTAATTATATCCTAACCATATGATCAAACAATCATACTCTTTGATATTACCTGAAGGATGTGTATAGAAGCTTCATTTATAATTGCCAAAACTCAGAAGCAACCAAGATGTCCTTCATGGGCAGATGGATAAACAAACTGTGGTACATTAGGTAATGGAACATTTTTCAGTGCCAAAAAGAAAATGAGCTATCAAGCCATGAAAAGACATGAAGGAAATTTAAATGCATATTACTCAGTGAAAGGAGCCAATCTGAAAAGGCTACCTACTATGTGTTTCCAATTATATGACATTCTGGAAAAAGCAAAATTATGAAGACAGTAAAAAGATCAGTGGTTGTCAGGGATTGTGGGCAAAAGAGTGATGAATAGGTAGAACATGGAGGATTTTTAGGGCTGTGAAAATACTCTGTGTGATACTATAATAGTTAATACATATCATTAGACATTTGTCCAGATCCCTAGAGTATATACTAAGAGTGAACTCTAATGTAAGCCGTGGACTTTGGGTGATGATGTGTCAGTGTAGGTTCATCAGTTGTAACAAATGTACCAGTCTGATGGTTGGTGTTAATAATAGGGGAGGCTATGTATGTGTGGGACAGAGGATATATAGGATATCTCTACACTTTCCTCCTCATTTTGCTGAGAACCTAAAACTGTTGTAAAAAAATATTTAATTAAAAAGTAAGCAAATAAATAAAATAAGTTCAAGAGGAAAAAAAGAAATGTATTGCCTTCTCATAAAAATTTAGGCAGCGCAGAACTAGATCCTTCTAACTCATAGTTCTGCTGTCAACTGAGAGCTTTCAGTGTGTGCTCTAAGATGACTAATCCTTTCTGTCCATCACATCTGCATTTCAAAGAGAAAATTCTAAGAGAAGAGCAAGACTTTTCCCCCTCTACATCATTTCCTGGAAATTGCACACACTACCTCTGCTTATGTTCTGATAGAACGCAGTCATTGTTGCACCTAGCTGCAAGGGAGTCTGGAAAGTGTGGTCTGATTCTGAGCATCCAAGTGTCTGGCTAATATCTGAGGTATTTTTACTTACCAAGAAGATAAAAAAAGATGTTGATGCTTAATTGACAGTTTCTGCCATGCTATTCATTGGAGGAGAGGAACCTTTCCACCTTCTTCTCTTGACATCCACCTCTGCAATACTGACATAAAGGATTTCAACCACTAATTCTCTCTTGGGCAAAGTACAGAGTTGCTCATCCTGACTGCGTTTTATACTTTCCTTGTGTATCTCTGGCTTTCCTTACCACCAATCTCAATATGCAACCTCCCTTCTCTTTTCATCCTCTTTGTTTATCTTGCCCCATTACCGCTGTGGCTCATCCAACTGTGTTCATGACACCACATTCTGGCAACAAACTCTGGAAGGAGGGTAGAGACCTTTCATGCTGACCTGACACTCAAGACCATCAATCCAGATGACCTCAGATGAGTTTTCCATCATCTCTCACATTTAACGCATATCACAGACTGAACCTATCACCTATTTACCTTCAAGCAAACATTGAATCTCTGAAGTACAGACATGAATCCATTTTGATACCAAAGATACATTAAGAAATGATGAAAGAAAAACCACTAATACAGAGAAAGATGTCTATTTAGCCTTTGTTTCTTTAAAAAATCAAGTCTAAACCCAATCTAAAAAGCTGTGATATGATCTCATCAGGCATTATGAAAGCAGTAGAAATGTATTTGGCATTTGCTTTACTGATGCATAAATCTAAATTTTGAAAAACGGTATTAGTTGAATGGCTTTCAGTAACACAGCTGCTAAGGTAAGGTCAGCAGTGGAATTTCTAATATAGCCTGATTTTTCTGTAGGGTAGACAGCAAAATAAGCCATTGCTTTCCGTACATTTTTCTCCCTATTTAGAAGTACAATTGAATGTCATTGGAAGAGATAATTTTTAAATGTATAAGAAAATCATTTATTTGTTAAGAAGCAGGGACAGTACCATAAAAAAGGGCCTTTTTCCTCAGAGCTATCCTCTCCTGAGCTACATTTTCCTATTATAACAGAATTAAAGTGACATACACATGAAATGTGTTCATTATACATCATGGATCGTACATAGTAGAAAATAGACTGTTCCAGAAACGCCAGTCTTGACTTGCCAGCCATCCAGTATCCTGAGGCCAGCATCACTTCTTAAACTTGTCTATCTCTTATTGGTCAAATATCTTTGTTTACAATGCGGATATACAACTTTGAGTTTAAGGAATTGGAAACAAATGCATGCATTTGGCGGAACTTATTTTACAAATGAGTCAAATTTAGTGGATCAACCTCCTGAGGTTTAAGAATATTTTGATTCACTGTCTTATGTGATCTTTTTCTTCATCTCTACATCCTCGGAAGAACTTCCCTAAATACATTACTTTTCAAAGTTCTTTTGAGTTCAATTTATGTCTTCTGGATGTAACATTGTGCAGAGATCAGCCTCAAGGCCTCCCTGGATGATTCTGTTTATATTTATTTGATTTAGTTTTATACTTTCTGCAGAGATGGAAGCATGCCCCCAAAATGGCCCTCGGCAATGTGTTCATCACTCAGTTTAAGCATAGGACATAATTGCTCCTTCACTTCCCAGCAGGCAAGGTCAGGCTGTAGCATCAACTGTGGGTTGGTCTTGTCTGCCATCATTGTAGCACTGGAAACTTGAGTGGTCACGGAACTAGGGAGTTAGAAGCACAAGGATTTAAAAAGGATTACCAGACCAGGTGCAGTGACTCACACCTGTAATCCTAGCATTTTGGAAGGCCAAGGCAGGAGGATCACTTGAGCCCAGTAGTTCAAGACCAGCCTGGACAAAAGTAGTGAGACCCTATTTCTACAAAAAGTAAAAAAGAATAATAACCAGGCATGGTGGCATTCATCTGTGGTTCCAGCTACTAGGCTGAGCTAGGAGGATCATTTGAGCCTAGGAGGTTGAGGCTGCAGTGAGCCATGACTGTGCCACTGCCCTCCAGCCTGGTGACAGAGCGAAACCCCATCTCTTAAAATAAATAAATAGCATTACCTTTGGCCCTATTAGCTTTTCTCAAGACACCTGCCCCCAATCTTTTCAGACTAAAAACTAAGACACTTAAATCCGTACATGCTATGGTAGCCATTCACCCTTTCAATCTCAAGCTTTCTTGGGCCCACAGTTGTGTATGCCAGGTGGTTTAATGAGACCTTGAGCTTCTCAAAAAACATGATGTCTGAATGCTATTTTTAATTTTTTAACTCAACAAACATTTATTGAACTCTCACTTATGGACAAATACAAATGAAGAGGTAGCTGAAGCCTTACATAAGAATTGTTCCTCTTGTGGCTTTTACCCTAATGTTCAAACTGAGAGTTAGCTTTGTTACCACCACTGCTCCCTTTGTGTTTAATTGGGTTTTGAAGGACCTGGAGGATTCCACCTGTGAAACAGACCCTGGGGCAATCAAAGAGAGAGTTGAGAAAACTGTTCAGAATCATAGAAGCAGGAAAGGGTATGATATATAGGAGGCACAATTAGCAATCCAGGGTCACTAGAGAATGAAAGGTGAGGGTAAGTGGGAAAGGCATGAAACTGGAGAATTGTGAATTCAGAATATATAGCTCATATAAAATAATAAGACATGAATTTCAGAGATAGAAGGATTGTAGATTTTTTCAGTCATTATTAAATAAAAGTCAAGGGTTACGTAATGAGATTCACCAAAGCTATACTGCTTGTACTGTCTTGTTGGTATCATGAAAAGGAAATAACTTTAACAAGCAATGAAAAGACCACATCTGGGCAATTTCTCTGGCTTCCACTATTGGTATGAGCCTCACATCACCAAAAACCAATTGGAAGGCAGCAATTATGCTTACAATCTAAAGCTCTATCATCATCATCAGAATCACTTCATCTACATGTTGCTAATTCAGAACAGACACAACATGGGCTCTTTATATGGCCAAAGAGGAATTAACGTTATCTCAGGCTTCGTCCAGGTCCAGAGAGATTTCCATTTTGTAGCACATTTTCTATAATTTACTGTAGAGGCCTAAATAGAGCATTGCAACTTTAAAGAGGAGAAGTCAAGGGCATTTAGGATATTGGATAATCAGAGAAGGACTAATGTTCACTGGATCCAAAGGTCCAGGTGCTGTTCTTTGTCTTGGCTTGTCAGGATGCTCCAAGGGAGAAGTGGGTCAAATTCTAAGGGTCCTTGCTGCATGGCTCATTGATGTAACCAGGGTAAGAGAAACGGATCTTCTTGGTCTTATCTCCATGTCCAATGAGGACACTGTCTAGTATGAAAGCAGCCAATATTTTTCCACGTGATTTGGAGTGGCTCATGAATTGTAAAAGATGTGGATGTTGGCTGCATGAAAAGACAACAGTTATTTTAAGACTGTAGTTGGACTATGCTTGATGAAAAGGGCCCAAAGCCATAAAGATCCAGAAATATAACATCATCTTTGAAATTAGCAAATGGTTGATTGCTTTGAGTGCCATCACTGAAGGTCCCCAATGTCTTGGTAGGTCCGTTCAGTAGAGGCATTAAAATAATCATGAACTTTTTTGTGTTTGTCTCTCTTTCAGTGAGCTATTTCCTCCGCTAGCACTCAGGCCTTCTGGGACAAGCCAATTATGAAATAAAACCATACATATTCTCAGGGCTGAGAATACCCAAGGGTCCTGTGGGGGTGAGGGTGGAGCAATGATTAAATAAATGCACCCTTGGATGAGATCCCATTATAAATGGGCCCCACAGTTTAATGGGTTATTGAGCCATAAAAGAATCTTTGATGAATGAGTACCATTTTACCTCTACACATGTTTCTTCTGACATCCACTATCCTGTTATCCTCCCCACCCCTACGGCCCTGCAACATCACCATCCCTAACCCCTCTTTCTTCCTACATCCCACCTCATTCTCTGATTTGCCCATAACCAGCAGGTTAGAAGACCTTAAACTCAAGAGTGAGACAATATGATCTATGCCTGGTGTTACTGTCTACAGTTTTGTTTTAGTAGGGACTGGGGAGGTCCAATTGAGGGAAACATCTAGGGTTTGGCCTCTGAAAATAGGAGCTAAAGAGAAACAATGTCACCTGCTAAAAAGGATAAAGCTGGGGTGTCAGAAGGGCCTGGGTACAAATGTCAACTCAGCCACTTATAAACTGTGATATGAAAGTAATAGCATATCTACGATCTTCAGTTTCCTTGTCTGTAAACTGAATATAATAAAGGATTATTATAAAAATTACAAAGAATATATATTATATATGGCACATGGCAGGTATGTGATAAAGATGAATTATTATTTTACCATTACTAGCATCATCAGGGCTGAAGACCGAGCTAAAGATACCAAGCTCAAAGGAAAGTCCAAAGAATAGGAAGAGAATTTTTTAATAGTAGACAAAGCCAAGAATCTGAACAAGAGTGAACTGACCCCTAGGCGGTGTGAAAGACATTGAAGCTGGAGTATGGATGGTCTGTTAACCTTGGCCTCAAGTCACATGATGTGTGACTGGCTCAGGCTTGTTCATAGTTATAGAGTGGGGTCAACACTCCACCAGTGGGTGAGGTTTGGAAGTCATCTCACTTCCCCAAACCCAGGATGCATCTTGTGTGATGGGAGCTCCTGGGTACCATCCATCCATGAAGACACCATCTTTCTCTTCTCTCCCCTCCTCTGGAACTGGGCTTCTTTGTACATGAGGCAAAGAACAGACAATAGAACCCAGTCCTCTTGGTAACAGATCCAAATTTAGTTCTTTTGAAGAAGGATTTATACTACTTCATTCATTTAAACATAAATATGAGGGAAGATAGAATCTCAGGTAGAAATGAGAGATGAAACTCTGATGAGGAGAAAAAAGCATCAAGGACTAAAAATCAAACACAGAAAGGAGGTTACTGGCTTCTTACATTCAGTACTTATGAATCTTGGATTTAGAAAGGAAATGTCCTCATTGCCAAAATGAAGAATGGACTTTAAGCAACCACTGACCCAAGGCAAGAAACTAAAGCCTTCTCTTCCTGCATTTCCTCATCTGTAAGATGAAAAAGCACTGATCTAGACTCAACTAAAAATCGCATTGAATTTTAAGTACAAAAAAGCCACGGTGTTTTTTGAAGGGCTATGTGATGGCTGAAGATTAATACAAATATTCAAACATTTATTTTCTGCTACATGCTTGGCACTGTGTTAAGCATTTTTTTACTTTAATTGCCCCTCTTAATCTTCATGACAATGAAGGCAGTGTATATTATCAACTTCACTTGACTGAGAACAAACTTAAAGCTAGAAAAATTAAAGGAATGTGCCCAAATTCACACAGCTAGAAAATGAAAGTGCTGGAAGTCCAAACCCTGGTGCATTCATGCATTTACTCAGCAAGTATTGATTACACATCTGTGATGTCCCAGACACTGTGCTAAGTACCTAGGTGCCAGGGTGATCAAAAACAGATACGTTCTTTGACGTCCATCTACCAAAGAAAATGAATAGGAATTAGTTACCCCAACACACATTAGAAAAGCAACAAACAGAGGGAGAAGAAGAAGAGTTACATGGCACTTGGGGAACCAACAATGGGATTTGACCTGGTCAGGAAGGTTGAGCAAGGCTCCCCTGAAGTGCCTTGAGTTGAGAGTTTCGAGTGAAGATAGGAGGGAAGAACATTATGAGCGAAGGGAACAACAGAAACTGCATGTGCAAAAGTCCTGTAGCAGGAGGGATCATGAGTACTATGGGGGTCAAGCGAAGGCCAATATGACTGATGCCAAGACAGCAAGAGAAGCAACATACAAAAATGCAGATGGAGAGAGGCACAGGACCAGGCAGGCCATGCAGAGCCTTGTGTGCCAAAGTGAGGAATTTCACCTTCCTCCTAAGAGCAATGGAACCCCACTGAAAAGTTATAAGCAGGAAAACATTGAGCTACCAAATTAGATACAAATTGTCTTCTTTATTTTGCCAGTGAAAATGACATCAATTAAACACCAATCTAACGGAGAGGGAAGGAAACAGAAGAAAGAGGACAGTGTCTTAGGCTTTTTCTTCTTGAGGGTGTTGACCTAACCGCAGATCATTAACAATAGGGTAAATAGCATACAGTGAAAAATATGAAGTGAAAATCCACAAGGGGTCCAGTGTGGCTTCTAAAATGCTTTGCCAGTGGAAATCTTGCACTAGTTCTCAGTCATTCTTAAAACACAGTTACAGGAGAAACAGATGAGTTTGCCTTCCTTTGTCTATAAACCAACAGATTTAAGGAGCCTACTCACCCAATGTGGTGGTTAGTAAGATTAAACACATATAAATCATACACACCAATGCCTAACTTTTGATATCCTGCATTTTAAGTTATTGCAAGTGTTCTGAATGGTGTGTGGAAAATTTTCTCTCTGTTGACGGATGCCAGGCACCTTTAAATATAGAAGTATCCTCCTAGAAGGAATAAATTAATAAAATGAGGCACATCAAAGGTAGGTTTTATGTATTTTATTGAAGTAAACATGTTCATCAGCTCTGAGAAAGAACTGTGGCATAAGAAAAAGGGCTTGAGCACCCAAGATTTTCAACCATTTCTAGGAAAACCAGAAGTATTGTGCTCACTTATGGTGACTGAACAGACTATTCAGGTTTTATGATTATTAATAAGGTTTTGAACTAAAGAACTTTTCTTATAGATTAAAAAGGAAAAGAACCTCAATTTCAGTTCCCTCTATTTTGGAAAGGACAAAGCTCTTCACACAGATCTTAAAAGAAGCAGAAATGGAAGGGAAACCAGGAACATTCTAGAAAATAAGTCTTTCATTAATTTGGACTCTTTACAGCAGAAGAAACATAAGATAAGGCCATCTTTGTGATCCCTATATGCTCTGTTTACAGATCTGATACTCACATATCACCCTTTGCAACACTTCTAACAAACGGAATACCCTGGAAGTGACAAGATGTGGCTCTCTGTGTGGAACACTTACTCTGGGGAAAGCCAGCTGCCTTATGAGGTGACTCAGGTACCCTTACAGAGAGGGCTTTATGGTGAAGGGCTAAGGCTTCCAGCCAGCAGCTATGTGAGGGCACCATCTTGGAAGCAGATCTTTCAGCCTCAGTCCAGCCTTCAGATGACTCTGCAACTCCAGCCATCAGCTTGAGTGGCCCTGAGCAAGAACCAACCAGCTTAAATGGCTCCCAAGTTCCTGGCCTATAGAAACAAAGATAAGAAGGTTTGTTTCAAGCCTGTAAGTTTTAAGGCTTACATAGCAATAGATAACTGATAAACGGTATAATAATAGTAAAAAACTACAAACACGTATTGAGTTTACCGAAATATAATCTCCTGGTAGAAAGGAATCATGTCTATTTATCTTGCCATTGGCACCTCAGGGCTTGGCACAAAGCCAGTGCTTAATACATATGTGGTGATTCAGTAAAAGTGTAAGACCTTAGTCACATGGCTGATATATTACGTACTTTACACATATTTCCTAATTTAATTCTCCCAGCTACTCTATGAAATATATTTATTATCCTTATTTACAATCTGAGGCTTTGCAAGATTATATAACTAGATTCCTGAATCTCTGACTCCAGACCCACGGACAGGGTCTAGTCATGCTGATGTATGTTTTTGCACTTGCTGTGCAATCAGCTGGAGACACGGTATCCCTGCAGCTCTCGAGACTTAGAACTCTGACCATGGAACCAAAATGTGTCAACACTCCTGTGGAGACTGTAGCCAGCTTATGCTTCTGCGGGAAAGCAGAAGGAGCTCAGCTAGTTAGGATGGGAAGATACAAGTCAGCTTCTAGAGGGGAAGGATGGGCAGGACCTGCACAAGGTAAATAGAAACAAGCTAGTGTCCCTCTCAGCAGATCCTCCCTCCCTCTAGGTGGCTTCACACAAGTCTCGTCTCTGCCATTGGCAGCAACCTTTTAGGCTGGTTCAAAACCAAAGAAACAAAGTGCCCAGGTCTGTGCAGGTTTCACAAGACATCACCTGGATTCTCCAAACACAGCACACTCTGGGGATTAAGTTCTTGGATCCAAGACCCTGGATCACATTCCTGACCCCTCACTAAGCCCTGAGGGAAAAATGTTGAGTTGTTGAAAATGAGGTTAAAAGGGATTGAACTACCAAATCCAATCAACATTCAACATATACTGAACACTAACCACACTTTTGAGTAACTAAATATGTAGTTTGTTGGTGGTAAACTGGTTTATTGTTTTAAAACATAAAAATCTGGAGTATTGATAAAATTTATTAAGAGCATGAAGGTTTCCTTTTGTGCTGTTTTAGGGCTTTTAGCTTCATTTCATAAAATATTGTGGCTCTAGGATGAGATAAAATTAAACTTGGAAATAATCTTACCAGTATTTGCCCTTACAATTCTATCTAGTCCTACATTGAGGATGGCTATTTTTTTCTGAAAATTAAGTTTTAAATAGAGTTCCAGAAGCCAGTATGCCCCATGAGAGAATCTCAAGGTAATGTATCTTAATTTCCCCCAATAAACAGCTTATTTTTCTGGTGGAAAGAGAGGAAAATGGGAAACACATTTTAAATTTTTTGTAGTTTTAAATTACTATGAATACATAATACTTGTACATATTTATTTTTATGTCAAAATAATTTTAGAAAAATAATGACTCAGAAAGAAGCTCATATAAATTCAGGGAAAAGGCAGATTACTAAAAAGTATGTATATTATGATGCTCTCACATTAAATATAGAGAGAGAAATATTTATGTTTACATATAGAAAAGACTAGGATAAACACTAAATATTAGCTTTGCCCTCCATTTACCCTCCTTCTGTTTCTTTCTTCCAGTGCCTATAAGTGCCTACTATGTATCAGGCACCATCCTAGGCTTCAGGTCCCAGAGATAAGGCTCAGGTTTGCCCTCAAGTAGCTCATAGTTCAGTGAGAAAGTCAGCAAAGTCAACAAATGCTTGGGAAAAAAACCAGACTTATAAAAGGCAGTGATATGCTTTGGATCTGTGTCCCCACCCAAATCTCATGTTCAATTGTAATCCTCAGTGTTGGAGATGGGGCCTGATGGGAGGTGATTGGATCATGGGGGTGGATACTTCATGAATGGTTTAGCACCATCCTCTCAGTGCTGTTCTCATCATGGTGAGTGAGTTCTCACAAGATCTGGTTGTTTAAAAGTGTGTAGCACCTCCCACCCACCTTGCTCCTGCTCTGGCCATAATGGGCCTACTTTCCCTTCGCCTTCTGCCATGATTGTAAGTTCCCTGCGGCCTCCCCTGAAGCTGATGCTGCCATGCTTCCTGTACAGCCTGCAGAACCATGAGCCTATTAAACCTCTTTTCTTTATAAATTACCCCATCTCAGGCATTTCTTTATAGCAGTGCAAGAACAGATTAATACAGGCAGTATAGCATAATGGTTCTTAGAAGCTGCTTTTGTGATCAGCAGATAGACCTGACGACAAACCATAGTTTTACACTTCCTAGCTTAAGCAAATTATCTCATTTCTCTAAGCTTCAATGCTCTTGCTTGCAAGTGGGGATAAAAATAGCTACCCCATAGATAATTGTAAGGGATAGAAGGAATCATATGAATACGAAGCACGCAGCATGAGAGTTGCCCATAGTAAGCACTCAATAAATGGCTTCCATTGACTTTATCACAGAGGGCATAGTGCAAGCCTAGAGGAGGCTAAAAGGCTCATAAAGATCAAAATCCCTGAGCTGATCATCCTATGATTAACCCTAAATAGGTAATGATAAATCACAAACACAGGGTTTGTGTTCTATATCGACCCAATCATTGGGCAAAACCTGCCACTGTTATCTTACAAAAATTTCCGGAATCTACATCACCAAACTCCTGTCTAAAAAGAACATTCGTTTTTTTCCCCAAAGCTTTTAGCTTCACTCATGTTTATTGCCCCTTCCAAAGGGTCCCAGGGCAGCCCCCAACAGACAGCAAAGCCAAAAACAGCTCAAAGGCATCCACCAGAGGCCCCAGAAGGCTGACTTCTCACATTTCTTCCTTTTTTCTTTCTGCTTTTTCTAGCCATTTCACTGGAAAATGTAATTCCTACCATAATTAAAAGAGTTCTGAATCTTACTTTCTTGAGAGGTAGCATAGTGTGAGAGAGAAAACCCAGCCCTCAGAGTCAGCCAGTCCTGAGTCTGAATCCCATGGCTCAGAGCCCAGAAACCTTGAGCGAATAACGCATGCCAGTCTCTGTCCTCATGTTTCTGCATAACAGTGAAAAGAACTATCTTGTGGATTTGGTGCGGACATGAAAGGAAGGTCACTTATGGAAGGTCACTCACTGAGTAACCAAAACTTGGCACATGCTCAATAAATGTTGGTTTTCTTTTTTTGTCAATAAAAATGATATGTTGACTGTATTTACACACAAATTTTGTAACTGTCACTTAATGCCAATATGCCCTCATTCTCTCATTGTGTGTATTCAAATGCAGAGTAAATAAGCCTTTCAGATGCTTTTAAAGTTGAAACCCTACTGAATTGATTACGTTTTGAGGGGAGAATGTGCATCTATCATTCATTTTTAGCATAATCAGACAATACTGACAAGAGGTGAAATGAAAACAACATTGCTCAAATTGGTTGAGCTCCATTAATTACCATTACCCAAAAGTCTGAGTGAAAATTCAGCTCAGCTAAATGACACTATTCCCATTAGAAATCATATTAAAATTTTGCAACTGAAGGGTTAATATACCCCAAGGTATCTTTTTTGAATAGGCCAGGTTTTGTCAATTTGCCTCTGCAATTTCTAAAGTATCTTTATCCTTATATCCATCCTCTCTGTAGCCTCCCAAAATAAAGAGTTAAATCTCTGTCTTCAATAATCACAAAACCTTTTAACTATTCACCCCTGGATTCTGTCTCCTCACTACTATCTATCTGAAACACAGAAGCCAGAGTAACACTTCCATTTTCACATCAGCATCTGGTAAATAGCCACTGATCCAGTCTCCCCAGTGATACCCTGTCAGTCTAGCTGCTCCACCATCCTTCCTCTCTCTAGACTTCAAGTTCAAGGAGCTTAATGCATCAGGGCACCTTGCCCTGCACCAACTCTAGTTAATTCATGTCCAGGCTGGCTGTCCCTATATGCTTATAAGCTTTGGATACTGCCTATGATCCACCAAATAAAGTCGAGATCCCTTGGCATGGTATCAAGGATTCTCATAATGGGATACCATTTTCACCCTTATTTACAAATAATACGAATGATATCCTAAACTAGGATATCTCAACACTTAGTATGCACACGAATCATTTGGGGATCTTGCTTAAACTTTAGATTCTGATTTAGTCAGGTCAGAGTGAGGGCCTGAGATCCTGCATTCCTGACAAGGGGATGTTGATGCTGCTTTTCCACAGGCCACAACTGGAATGCCCTCTGGTCTTAGTTAATTGGTTGATACCTCAAAGCCAAGCTCAAATGCAACCTCCTCACTAAAATTTTCTCTGATTTTCTGAAGTAAATACGAACTATTTCTCCCTGGAATTCTTGTATGTTTGATTGGGAAATCAATCACCAAACACGCCCAACTAGCAGAGTTTTCATATACATTTCCATTTTAGGACAAATTTTATTGTTTCCCTCTAAGTTGACCCAAGCATACCTTTAAATGATCTGCACATTCATGATTAATTCTGCACAGTAATTAAAGTACTACAAGAAGCTCCCATTCATTCAGGGTAAAATAACCAGAAAAATGTGAACAACCTAAACGGTGCAGAATTGCATGATAATAATTTATGTTCATAGTAATAACCCAGAGGCATAGGGAGCCTAAAATAGCTTCTGGATCATCAAAGAAAGATTAAAATTATGTTCGGCATATTTTAGTGTTAAGTGAAATTGTGTTCTAATTCTCTGAAAACTGACATGGGTGTGTGTGTGTGTCTGTGTGTGTGTGTGTGTGTGTGTGTGTGTATGGTGTGTTCTGATTCCTTGAAAACATATAAGAAATGTGTAATTGTCATTGTCAGTTACATGTAATATTTATCACCCTTAGCACCAACTCTGTGCCTGCCATTCCCCTATCACACATGCACACACACTCACATGCACACACACCCACACGATTTCTCAGAAAATAAAATAGGAAGGCTCGGATTCTACTATGCTTCCAAATTCCCAAAATAAACTTCTTGGAGCCCTCTTTTTTTTCCCTAAAATTGAAGACCCTGTAATTATCTGGACTAAGCCTAGATACAGGCTATTTCTCCATTGTTATATATTCTCATAATGAATGCATATTGTTTTTCATTCCACAGGGATTTGCAATGGGCGACATGCATTCCCATACTAAAATCTAAAAAATGAATTAAATATGCAAAAGAGAAAAACAACAGCCAAATATAAATGAAGCCAGGAAGAGCAGTTGCCCGGACATGGGTTTCGTAAAGTGTTGCCTCATTGTTGGCCTGGAGCAGGGAGGTCAGTATGCTTAGGTCTGACTTCCTGCCTCCACTACCTGTTTCCTTTCTCCTTCCCACAACGAGCCAGGTAGTTGGGTAGGTTTTACCCTGTTCTTCCACTCTGGGACTCGTGTATACACATATCCTCCTTTTTCCAGAGGTGATGTATGCCTCCTGTCCTCCCTGGGAATATATTGGAATTCTTGCTTCATTTACTAGGAGAATAAATCACACATTTGTTTAATATTTTCTTAAAACATGACATTCAATGCATTATTTCCCTAATAAACTATTGTTCCCTCCCCCTACCCACCACTTCCACTCCAATGACACTTTCTTTCATCCAGAAATCTACCTCCTTCCAGGGAAGTGGGATGTAGGTTTCATTCTGCACATGTGTATTTATCTTCCAGGCCCCCAGACTTTGGCCAAGTGAGCTTCATTATTGGCTGAAAATCTCACTTCCTATCAGTGGGGAATCCTTCTCATCCTCTTGGCTTTCTTAACTCTGGCATCATTCATCATGGAGTCTAGCCATACAATCAGGAAAGCTTTCCTCCAGTGGGGGTGAGCCTAGAGTGGGCCTTGCAATTGCCAATGGGCCCCAAAGCAGCAGGAGGTGAGGACTAGCTCTTTAGCTGACACCCCTGCCACGTCCTGTTTGTTCCTCCAGAGCCTGGCTCAAGAAAGGAACAGATGATGGCCAAGCACGGGCTTCCCTGGGGCTCTCATGGCTCCCCCGGTTACCTCTGGGGGAGGTCTTTCTCAGGACATTTAATAGTCTGTATGCACATGCAGCTATATTTTGTACGGTTGACCCGGCAAAAATTGGAGTGGAGTCTGGGTCAAAACCCTGAGAGAGAGAATAGGCAGGCACAGATGCAGGACTCAGGACTGTCAATGAAAGGAGGAAGGGGAGGGCCATAAGCCTTTATCTTCGAGGCCCCGTCATGGATACTTAGTCTTTGAAAGAAGAGATCCCCTTCCTAAAGAAGAAACCTAAACTCTACAGAATAAGTGTAGGTCAACAGGAGAGACACTGGGACAAAGTTGGAGTGGCTGTGCTGCAGAGGGGAAGACTGGGAGTCATTGCCAGGCTAGAAGGAAGACTCAAGTGAGTCTTGAGTGGCAGGGCCACCGGGGGGCGGGTTGTCCACAGGCCCCTGGGGCCACTGCCAGTGGAATGCCCGGGGTGTCTTGGTCAGTAGGAGAAGGAATGTCTGTATCTTAGTTCTCAAAGAATGAGGGAAGGAACTTCTTTCATAAGGATCAGGAGACTAAGTGGAATTTGAGCAGGCCTGGGCTGTCACTGAGCAATGGTCACCCACTGCAGCCATCAGTCTACCAGCCATGGAGCATTCAGTACAAGAGGCTATACTGGCCTCCCTCACACAGCTGACCCATTGCCTGTGGACAACCGCATGTTGTGGCCCTAGACACTTTATAGTAGACTAACAGAGGCCTGACGTTTTGTAAGTGGAAGGGAAACTTTACACCCTGACTGAATTAGGACTGGGCAGAATGGACTGAAAATTTCCTCGACCCAGGACAGCAACTGTACAACATCCTGCCTCTGCTACACAAGCTCTCTCTTGCATTCTCCTTGCTTTACATTCTGTCTTCAGCTCCTAAGAATCCCTTGGGTTCTGATTGCCCATAAATTGACTCCTGCTTGACTCAAAGCTTCAGGGTTTATGGTGGCCTGTTTCTTATAAATCTACCTTGCTTCTTACACACAATTTACCTTGACCTCCGCTATTTGTCTCTGCCTTGATTCAAAGCGTTGGACTTCCTCTTATCCATGACAAATACCTGGTTCTTTCAATCATGTTTTATTTTCCTTGGGCTCACTTTCTTACTCTTTATTTACATTGACTGCCATTTACATCCATTGTGTAAAAATATTTAAAACCATCATGAAAAGTGCAGCCTTCATGTAGTGAAATGTTACTAAAGATGAAGACAGAGTCATATCAGGATTTCATACATGACCAAGTTCTTAGCACTATGTCAACTCTCTTATCATCATGAGGGGCTATGTGATAACTATGATGATGCATACTCCACAATAGTGGGCCTCATTATTATTTTTTTATACAATCAAGGCACAATCTATTAGAATGGGAAGAGACCCTGGAGATAATAAGACACAACCCTACCACTTTACAGAGGGGTAAATTGTGGACCAGAAAAATTAAAAGCTTTGCCCCATATCATAGGGTTAATCAGTAAGGACGCTAAGGTCAAAACCTGGGTCTCGAATTTTCTTGTTTAATACTCTTTCCACTATGTCAAAAGGTGATTTGACATACATAAGTGAGTAGAACTGGATTTTTTTTTAAAAGTCAAAGTTTCAACAAGTGAAGCTCAAGGGGAATTTGTTTCGCTCATTCATTCTGTTCCTGTTTATTGAGTGTCCACTATATGCGGGCACTGTACCGGGCAAAGGAGGTGAAGTTGTGAGGAAGCAGATGCCAGTCCTATGAACCTTAAACATTAAGCAAATATCCATGCAAATAAATTACCGCATATCTCATTGATCTTCAAATGCAACTGCTTTTTAAACATCTCAGCACATTCAAATTTGAGACACGTTGTACCATCAATATGTCTTATGATGAAGTTGGCCTGGAAGGGAGTCAAGTTCTTCCGGATTGTATATGAATTTGCTTCTTTCACCCAGGTCACTTTCAACATGGGATTCCTTCTAAACTATACTCTCCATTTGAGGTTTTCTGGACCACACTTGTTGTTGGACTTTAGACTACAAACCTGCAAGATGATCACCTCCCGATTCTCTCCTGAAAAGGAGAGACTTTTCTTTCTCCTTCCATCTGGGGCTAAGGTTGAAACTGGCAAGTTTCCTTGCTGTCCCTTTCTACATGCTGGGTTCATTTCTTATGTGCCCTTACTTCAGTAGGCCAGCTTTGTGTGGAAAGTCTCACGCTAAATTCTTCACCTTGAGCTTCTTCTCATGAACTTTCTCAGAGGTATGTACAATAATGGTGCATTTTACAATTAGTGGCATCTTAGGTTCTATAAAATATAATAATTATAAGTTGTGAAAAAACAGCGCAAAATGGTACGAGGAAATATAATAGGTGACCTAATTTAGGTCAAAGGCCTCTATGAATAAGTGACAGGTAAACTGAGTCCTAAAGACTGAGACAAGTGACCCAGGAGCTAAGCATCTCAGACAGGGACAACAGTCTGTGCAAAACCCACTTAGGTAAAAAAAAAAAAAAAAAAAAAAGAAGCCAGCGTTGCTTTTAAATCCCTTTAGTCTGATGATCTCCAAAGTGTTAATATCCAAAAGAAAAGAATGTCTTTTCAATGAATAGCTTTTCCTTGAAACTGAAATAGAAATATGACGGATTCCGATTTCTACACTACTTTCTTAAAAATTGTATTTTTAAAAGCAAATAGAGTTATGCCCTGTAATTATAATTATCACCCACAATTTCCTCAATCTAAAGTTGATTATGTTCTCTGTCGCTGTGCCAAAAGCACAGTGACTTGACATGTGGAACAGTAACAAGATAAATTGTCGCCATTACATATTCCTTTTGCATAGGGGAGGTATTAAAACCATTCCCTCTCACAGTTTTTCTAGAAAAGCTTCATCTTCCAGGGTCTGAGCATTCCAGACAGGGGGAATAGCCCATGGCACTAGAGAATAAAGTATGATTTTTAATAAGTTCATGAAAGGAGCCTTCCCAGTTGGTATATGGAGAACACCATTCCTCTCAGCCAATCCTCTTTAAATCAGTGCAAAAGCCAATGCCCATTGCAGCATTCCTCAAATGGTGCTTCCTGAGACTTCAAAAAAGTGATGGTAACAAAAGCACAATTCCTGATATTGTGAAATACATATAGTCATGAACCACATAACAAAATTTCGGTCAAAGATGGACCACATATATGACAATGGTCCTATAAGATTATATTATCATATTTTTAATGTGCCTTTTCTATATTTAGACATGTTTGGATACACAAATACTCATCACTGTATTACAATTTCCCACAGTATTCAATACAGTAACATGCTGTGCAGGTTTATAGCCTATGAACAATAGGCTATACCATACAGCCTAGGTGTGTGGGAGGCTGTACCATCTAGGTTTATGTCAGTACTGGCTCTCATGTTCATACAACCATAAAATTGCCTAATAATGCATTTCTCAGACCATATCCCCCATCACTAAACAAGACATGACCGTATCTTGTTTCCTGACACACCGCGCCTAAACTTCTGGGACTCTCCAGAGTGATAAGAGTGTCTTTGTGTATGCTAATGAGATGGCTGGTGACCTTCCTAAACTGTTTCAGGAAGGGGGATGGTTACCAGAAAGACCAAGACATGATTACAGAGTTGGAACTTTCAAGTCTACCCCCCAATCCCCAGAAAGGGGAGAGAGGGAGAAATTGAAGGTTGAGTTGATCAGCAATGGTCAAATGATGTCATCAATCATGACTATGCAATGAAGCCTCCATAAAAATCTGAGAAAGGACAAGGTTGGACAGAGCTTCCAGAAAGCTAAACACGTGGAGATTCCTGCAGAGTAGAGCACCCAGCGAGGGCAGGGAAGCTCCATGCCCTTTTCCACAGATCTCACCCTATGCATCTCTTCCATCTGGCTGTTCAACTGTGTCCTTTGTAATGTCCTTCATAACAAACCTGTAAACATAAGTAAAGTGTTTCCTGAGTTCTGTGAGATGCTCTAACAAATTAATCAAACTCCAGGAGGGGGGTGTGGGAACCCCAATTTATAGCCAATCGGCAGAGGGGCAGGCCACAATCTAGGGTTTGTGATTGGCATCTGAAGTGGGAGGCAGTCTTGCAGGGCTGAACCCCCAACCTGAGGGATCTGATGCTGTCTCCAGGTAGATAGTGACAGAATTAAGTTGACTCAGAGGACAACCACCTGGTGTCCACTGGAGAGGTGGCTAGAGAATTGATTGCTTGGTGTGTGGGGAGAAAAAAAAACATGAATCTGGCCATAGAAGCATTGTGTTCTGTGTTGAATAGAGAAGAAAGGACAGGAAAACACACCTTGGTTTTTTTCCACCTATCTCCTAGTGTCTTTTTCTCATGCATGGCTCTACAGCAAATAGCACCCAGGGATTTCTCTGCGATTACTAGACCATCTTAAAACTTTGAAAACTCCAGTTTGTTATAGATTTAATCAGTACACTTTTACTTGTATTTTCAGAGTTGTGCTGTAAGAGTTTCTTAATAAAAGTAACTGGTAAAGGCCTATCAATTTACTGCATTGTAGAAGTGCCCAGTTACAGTATAGCTTGTCCAGATGAAATTTCCTTTCTTTTCAAACCAGCTCACTGATCCTAAGTGACCAAAAGACATTAATTCCTAGAAGCATTTTCAGTCTTTGCTCTATTTTGTACCTGGATTGTGAGACACTCAGACCTAAATGTCAGTGTGTATTTGCTAGGCTGGAATGTGGCATTCATGGAATTTCTTTTGCAGGTCTCTCCCTAGGACTGGGGACATATTCGATCCAGGGAGTCAAGAGACTTACAGAGGGCTGCTTCTTTGTCACTTGTCTGCCATGATCAAACAGAAATAGAAAAGGTAGTCACCAGGAATGAAATTTGTGTGGACAGCTGCCATCTCTGCAGCCTAATCCTATGTTGGGTTGGGGACTTCTCACCAGATGGCCCTTTATCTTATTTCATCTGGACCCCAGGTCAATCATTATTCTCCAGAAAAATAAATTTCCCTACCCTACCCTACCATGATTGTTTCATTCAGAGAAGATCCTTTGGCTTTGATAAAGAGCCATGGATGGCAGATCATCCATCTATCCATTTATCCATTCATCCATTCAAACAGTGACTGATGGGCACCTACTCGCTGTTCTGTGCTGTTCAATGTCTGAGACATATTCTGTGCATTGAAGCTGCTTGTTGCATTGTTTATCTTCATCTTCTTCCTATTTTTCTTCTCTACGCTTTACTCTTCCTCCTCTTTCTCAGTTTAAGGTTTGTACTTGCTACGGTTTGAATATGTCCCCTTTAAAATTCAGGAGTTGCCAATATGATAGTATTAGGAGGTGGGGCCTTTAAGAGATGTTTAGGCCATGAGGGCTCCTCCCTTGTGAGTGGGATTGAGATTCTTATAAAAGAGGCTTCACACAGTGTTTGGCTCATTTGCTCTTTTACCCCTGAGGGTATAGTGTTCCTCCCTTTCAGAGGATACACCATCAAAGCACCATCTCAGAAGCAGACACAGCCCTCGCCAGGCAACCAAAGCTGCTGGCGCCTTCATCTTGGACTTCCCAGCCTCCAGAACTGGGAGAAAATAAATGCTTGTCTTCTATAAATTATCCAGTCTGCAGTATTTTGTTAGAGCAGCACAAACAGACTAAGACAGAAATACTGTGAAGGTTGATTTGGGTGTCAACTTGACTGGATTAAAGGAACCCAAATAGCTGGGAAGGCATTATTTATTCTCAGTGCTTCAGTAGGCACTGAGCCCATCCCCCTTCTGCTGAAAGGGAAACCCAACTCATTTGGCATTTAATTAGAATAATTCGGCTGCCTTAAGTGTGTCTGTGAGAGTGCTCCTGGGGGAGATTGGCATGTAAGTAGGTGAACTAGAATGGGGAAGATCCACTCTCAATGTAGCAGACACCATCCAGTGGGCTGGGGGCCTGGAGGGAACGAAAAGGTGAAGTAAGGTCAAATTCTCTTCCTCTCACTTCCAAAGCCAGGAGACCCTTCTTCTCCTGCCTTCAGACATCAGAACTCCAGTTTCTCTGGCCTTTGGACTCACATCAGCAGATCCTGGGCCTTTGGCCTTGGACTGAGAATTACACTGTCACCTTCCTTTGTTCTGAAACCTTGGGTTTGGGACTGAGCCAAGCTACTGATTTTCCTGGTTCTCCAACTTGCAGTTGGTCTATCTTGGGACTTCTCAGCCTCCATAATTAAATGAGTCAAATACGCTAATAAATCCTTCATCTCTCTCTATATATATATCTAATAAATCCTTCATCTCTCTCTATATATGTCTTACTGGTTCTATTTCTCTGGGGAACCTTGACTAAAACAATACTGTTGGCCAATTATTTGATCAAATCACTATAATTGGTTTGAAAAAAGAAAGGAGGCCTCAAAATGAGTAACCCTAACTTCAACTGTTAACTTCAGTCTTTGCGGAACGAAGTGATGTCTTACCTCCATGATCAAAACAAGGCAAGCGCTCGGCTATTGTGGTTCTGAAGCATTTTCAGAGAAAAGATAGTGAACCAGCTGACACTAATAAAGTTCCCCCAAATTTGATTAAACTTAAATCTGCCCTTTTTGCCTGGGAAAACCCATAAGCTTATGTGAGTAAATAAGCCTCTTATTTAAAAACTAAACTTTGAAATTTGGAAAGAAAAGCTGCAGAGTTGGTGCCCCAGTACACAAGGGCTGTTCCAACCTGGAGTGCTCATTGGAATTTCAAAGGGAAATGAAAACAGGTGAGAAATACTTGTATTCATAGGTTGTGGGAACCCAGGCATGGGATAATGTAGAACCTAATAGCTAATACGCTTACTAGATGACTGATTGGCTTTAATGTGAAAAAGTTTGAGGCACAGGACGCTTGGAGGGAAAATCATCGATCTCACCATCTATGATCCCGAATCCAAGACGAAAACGATTATTTCCTTTCTCCTCTGCCCTTCCTCTAGCTGCTGGGAAATGGCCACACAGAAGCTAGGAAAGGGGAGTAGGTGGTGCAGAGCAGCGGTTCTCAAACTTTACTGTTTTGCTGCACACTAGAATCACCTGGGAGTTTTCAAGAATCCTGATGCCCCCTCCACGTTGAGAAGTGCAGTGAGAGCAACCCATTAAATCAGGATCCAGGAGCCGGTGGGGGAGAACTCGCAATTGGCATTTTTTTGAAGGCCTCCAAGTGCCTCCCATGCAGAGCAAGTTTGAGGCCAGAGGTATAAGTGGTGCTTCCCAATGAGGCAGGATCTGAGACAAGACACAAGCTCCCAGCTGGTGTGGTCCCTGGCTGCACTTTAAGTAACAAGGTGTAGAGTTTCTATCCCCGATCCCACCCTCACAATGATGTCCTGGCAAAGTGAAAGAAGCTGAAAGAAAAGAGCTGAAAGAATTGAGCCTGGGCAGAAATGCAAGCAGGATGTGGGCAATGGGGCTATCAAATCAACACAGCCTGGAAAAAAGGGATAAGAAAGCCTGCGTGTTCTCAGGAGGATAGAGCTATTTGTCATTTGAAGCAAGACATCCCACTGTCCCATGAAAGCTTTTCTCCTCCCCTACCCCAATAACATGCACACAGGAAGAATTCGTTTGTCCTATGTCTCCAACCGGAGTGCCCAAATTCCTCTGGCTCCCCGTAATTACGATGCTGGATGAGAAAGAATTGGACTTAGGCCATCACCTAAGCATTGGCATATGTTCAAAGTTCTCCCATCTTGAAACCAGAAAGCAAGCCAACCCACCTCCGTGGACTTTTGCTTTCCTTCCAGCCCAAGCTCCCTTCTTTCTTGCCCACAGGCAGCTTTTAAAAGGACCTATTACGGGCACCCACACTCTTAGTTTTCATCCCACCAGTATGTAATAGGGACATTTTGTTTATCATAGACTTCTTTACATTAATCTTGACTTTTAAAAAACAGTGCCTTAAAATATTAATCTTGCTCCTTTTGCGGTTTATAAGCATGATGATTGGGTTTTCATGTGTGAGATGTGTCTCCCTCAAATCTTTTTATGAAGTAGATGCATTGTCTGTCTGACATGAAAAAAGGAAATAATTATTTATCTTGATTACTTCATTTTTGGCACCCCCTCCCCTTTTATTTAGCCCCAAGACTCTTGCCTCACCCTAGTCTTAACCATTTCCATCTGCTCCTCAACCCACTACAGTCTGTTCTGCTCTCAATGCAATAGAAACTAATCTTGAAAGACTCAATAAAAATTCTTCTGTGTCATTTGTTTTAAAGGACAACTTTTTAGTCCCTGTTTTCCATGCCATCCCTTTAAGCACTCAAACACATCAAACTACAAGACATACACAAATACAATGATTATGAAAAATGTTACTAATACCTATGTCTATTCCTAAAATGTCAACATCTTGTTTTCTTCCCCATTTCTTAATTTTTTATACTACGCCTATACTATCTAAGATTATAGCAGTACTTAATTAAAAATCTCAAGTTTACAGTATTCCAGACCAAAAAGAAAAGGAATATAAACTTAAGACAGCCAAGGTCGTAGGATCTGGTTGAAGCATTGATTCTTGGTTAGGGCAGGAGGTCAGATTATTTCTCTGAAGACTATCTAAATCCAAACAATGGACACCAGGCTGAAACTTTCTTCTTAAGTTAATCTTGACTTTTCATATCAATTAAAAATAAAGTCTACATTTTCCCCATGGATTTTAGTTTTTAGTAGCCTGGAATTTCCCGATCAAACATTGATGTCTGTCTTGGCTACCATGACATAACCCATTGTCCTGTCATTATGATAACTGGGTCTGGTCTATTGATGTTATTTAAAATGTATGGCTGCCTCAGTAGTGCCTCATCCTGAGTGAGACCATCCAGAGGTTTCATCTCTCAGGACAGGTAGAACCGGGGTAGTACAATGCATTCTCCTTTTTAAGATATTTGTTGACTTCATCATCTTGGAACACAGTTTTGATCCTTTTTCTAGTTATTGTGTGTGGCCACTGGTGCTTGGAAGACCCTCCTGTTCTTGATAGAGTTTCTGTATATTTTCCCTGGGCAATTTGGCTAACTGTTTCCTGTACTGCCTCTTCTCTAGTTATGCAGCTTGACATGAGTTTTATGTCTATATTTTAAAATCAAACAGAGTTAATAGAAGAAATAAAAAACTAATTTATATTAACTTCCTCATTAAAATTAATAAAAAATTAAACATATCCCATGATAGCCAAATTTCTATGTTCATTCTAATTACCTTTAATATATATTAACTTTTCTCTGAATATCATTATAAAATTTTGGCCTTTTACAAACTCATCATATTTCAGTTAACTGCAATTATTATACCTTTTTTGATGCTCAAATTATAACTTGGCCAGCAGGAGACCTTGAAGCTGGCTCCTTTGTCCTTTCAGCACTGTCTCTGGCATTTTTGAAACTATCTTTCCTTTCTGGAAACAATAGGGTACTCTGGGTTCATGCTACTGCATGTATATGTGTGATCCAGGAGTGCTAGTTCCTTCTAGTGAGGGTGAGAAATAGAGACCCAAATCTGGGCATTTAGGAGTTCATTTGAGTATAGGCAGTGACCAAAATGCTACTGAAATGGGAGAGTTCCCTGACCCCCATTGCAGGATGTGTGACAGGGGTGTGGCTTGTGTGTTCAGCCACTATCATGGCTCAAACCCCTTACGGGAGGGGGAGCATGCATCTGGGCAGGTGCAGGAGCCAGGGCGAGCGCTTTTGGGCTTTGGCCCCACAGTAACATCTAGGGGTGGGTGCCTGTGACTCCCAAAGCCCCACTGGGTGTGTTACAATGCTCTTTTAGCTCTGCCATCCACTGATGGCTTGAGTGTTAACCAGCTCACTGCCCTCTTGGTACCCAGATCCTCTTCCAGCATCCAGGAAGAATCAGGTCACATGGACAAATTTAAGGATGGTAATTGCGGGAAATTGTATTGCCGGATAGGGGTGGGTCTCAGTGGGATAGATAGGGAGCTGGAGAGGGGATGGAGTAGAACGAATATCTCTCCCTGGAGTTCAGCCATCCGGCAGCCGATCCCCTCTCCAACTGTCCCCAGCTGCACTCCTCTCGACATTCAGACGCTCCTTCTCTTCTCTCCTCTGCTGTGCAGCTCTTCTGCTCCTCTGCTCTTCTGCTTGTGGATCCTGGAGTTTGGGATAATGGGTACAGGATAAGGGAGCATGGCAGGCCAAAAGGCACCATTTGGGCACAAAAACAGGAATGCCTGTTCTCATTTAGGGCCGTGGGTTTCCAGGCTTGAGGGTGGGGCCTTTGCCTGGGAACTGCCCTCTTCTACCCAGTATTGAATTTCCTTGCCTCCTGTCCAAATCATAGGCAGTAACCAAAATGCTACTGCTGTTGGAACACATAGCTAGGAAAAAATATTGCTTTTTAATGCTGTGAGTTCACATTGGGTTTTTTCCCTAATATTATTAACATAATTTAATTGCTGTACCTGACTCTTCTCAGAGGATGAGGTTTTATCGACCTCTAAGACTTTCTAATATATTAGTACAACAAATGACCTCAGCTTGAACCTTATCTACTTCATAGTTCAAGCCCTGATATTAATCTGCCTTTGTGTTGGCTTCACATCACACTGACGTTCGAAGACTCAATACTTGGTTTTTGTTCCAACATCTCATTGTGGCCCTTATCACACCGATTCCCAAGTTCAACCCCCATCCCAGATGACTTCTTGGCCCCTGGGAAATGCATGTAAGACATTTTGCCTCTGAGGAATAATTGTTCAGGATGGTGGCATGTTAATCTTCTATTACAAGGAGGGCCTGGCTTTACTTCTTGTGAAAAGAGAAGACTTTTTTCTGTTTCATGATCCAGTTTTGAAGAACCTGGTATTTCCTTTTGTTCATATTTCTTCTACCATCAGTTCCATATCTGTCTCTATAATTTTCTTTCGACACATTTAAATATAGGAATACAAAGCAAGAGTGATGCAGCCTCTGTACATTCTCTTTAATATGAACATTGAAAGGACAGAAGCACTGTTTTTTTCTTTGTCTCAACTTGGTATATTTCCTTCTAGAAATCTTAGTTTTCTTACGTGTTTAAAGTATATCTTCCTTAACTGATAACTCCAGATTTGCTGATAATTTGTTCAAGGATCTGGAACTCCACAAGGGTTGCACTGGCCATAAGTTTAGCTTCTATCCACAGGACGGGGGATAATGGGGGTGGCCACCACCTTGGGGGTTGTGTCATAGATACCCTTGCTACCATTATACTTAGGAGGAAGGCTCTGGACAAGGAAATGGGAGAACATTTACTTACAGAGAAAAGACCTAGAAAGTAGTGAGCACGAGCGGCACATATCTGATCTCTTATTCAATGTAAGTTTAGCAGGGTGGATTTTGGTTTTTACAGCAGCCCTGGTTTCATTTTATGCCTTTAAGCTGTGGCAGAGTACATGAGATATTTGTTGAAGGCTGCCCATTAGCCTAGGCAAAAATGCATTATAAAATGTGTATACATTTTTTTAATACTAAGGAAAATTTTTATAAATTGTAATTCTCATATAAATATATATATATTTTAATGATAACTCAATTCATGTGAATGTAAAACTTGCCATTTATGAGCCAGGCTGTATACTAGGCACCTGACACTGAACCCTCCTTCGTCCTCACAATAGCATGCTGAGACAGGTTCATTATTACCATTTTAAAGATAAGCAAACAGAGGCTTAGTAAGGTTATGTAAATTATTCATGTTCTTAAACTAGTAGGTGGTGAGTAGGCGATTCAAATCCCGGTACTTTGATTCTAACTCCAGAACCCATTGTCCTAAATATGTGTCTGTATGCATAACAAAAACTGGATCCTACCCTACATATAATTCAAAATCCTCCTTTTGTCACTTATTTTACTAAGAGCATTTCTTTCATAAAGTTTTAGAAAAGATTTTTTTAATGACTGCATACTGTCTTTTCTTGAAAAGGTAATTTTGCCAGTCTCCCACTAATGAACATGTTTTTCAAATTTTTCAGTATTATAAATAATTTTTCAATAAGTATTAAACAATAAGCAAAGCATTATACTTATTTTTGTTCATGTGTCTGATTATTTTCTTAAATTCATTGAAGGGAAATTACTGAGCCAAAGGAAATGATAATTTGTGTACCTACATTACCTGAAAGGGGTCCCGATCCAGACCCCAAGACAGGGTTCTTGGATCTCACGCAAGAAAGAATTCGAGGTGAGTCCGTAAAGTGAAAGCAAGTTTATTATTAAGAAGGTAAAGGAATGAAAGAATGGCTACTCCATAGACAGAGCAGTCCCTGGCTCTGGTTGCCCATTTTTATGGTTATTTCTTGGTGATATGCTAAACAAGGGGTGGATTATTCATGCCTCCCCTTTTTAGACCTTATAGGGTAACTTCCTGACTTTGCCATGGCATTTGTAAACGGTCAGGCACTGGTGGGAGTGTGGCAGTGAGGACCACCAGAGGTCACTTTTGTTACCATCTTGGTTTTAATGGGTTTTGGCCGGCTTCTTTAGCGCAAACTGTTTTATCAGGAAGGTCTTTATGACTTGTATCTTGTGCTGACCTCCTATCTCATCCTGTGACTAAGAATCGCTTAACTTACCGGGAATGCAGCCCAACAGGTCTTAGCCTTATTTTACCAAGCTCCTATTCAAGATGGAGTTGCTCTGGTTCAAACGCCTCTGACACCTGTATAGATAGTACCAAATAAATTTTCACAGAGGTTGTGCGGACTTATACTTCTGCCAGCAATTTATTTTAGGGAGTCTTTTCAAACTTCCACCAGCAAAGAAAATTTTCTTTAAAAAATGTTTTGCTATTTTAATGAGTGAATAAAATGTATCTTGTAACTTTTTAAATTAGTATTTGATTAGTTGTGAGTGTGAATATTTTTTCCAGATAATCATATTTTGTATTTAAGTTTACTGTGAGGATACTCTGCCCATGTCTTTTGGAGTATTTTGTTAACTGATTTGTAAGAGTACTTCATGTACTATTTCAGTATTATCTTTCTGCTCTGTTACTACAACTACTTTTTCTAATTTGTAATTTGATTGTTGTGAACGTGTTCCTCGATGTAAAGGACTTTCAATTGTGTTAACAGTAAGAAGATCTATCTAACTTTTCCTTTGTAATTACTTACATTTGCTTTTATGCTTAGAATATCGTTCCCTCTCCAGAAGTTTTTGTCTATGTGTGGGTTCTTTAATCCATCTGTTTTTATTGTTGTTTTTGTCTTGGGCTGCTGGATAGTGAAGCTATAACTTGAGTTAATCAATTTTCCTAACCATTTGAGAAACAATCTCTGCCTTTCCCATTTTTGTTGTCCTTACTTTAAACTGGAATACATACGAGAGTCTACTTCAGGGTCCACTGCTCTATTCTATCAATCTGCCTACCAGCTCCTGAGCTAGTACCATACTGCTTCGGTTGCAGTTGCTTGTAATGTATTTTAATACCTAGTAGGATGTGCCTACACACTTGAAATTGCTCTGATTCTCCTTTTTCAATAATTTTTAGTTTTTTGCTTGTTATTAATATACATTTTAGAATCACAATGTCATATAAGAAAAATAACACTATCTTTTGATTGGCACTACATTTTTTCATCATGTCATCACAATATTTAACATGTCATTGCAAAATCATAATAGTATTTATTTTCTTTTGGTTGTGCTATTGTCAATTTTAGATCAATGTTACGCTGACTTCATAAAATGAATCTTTATACAGTCAGCTTTTGTTTTTATATCCAGAAAAATCATATAACATGGTATTATCTGTCTTTCTGAAATTCTGAAAGTTATCACTGGTAAAATTTTCAGAAAATGAGACATCTTTGGAAGTAATAAAATACATACACATACATATATATCTCCAGGATTTCTTCTAAAAGTTCATGACCCTTTTTCTTAAAGTTAGGTAGTCTATGCCATGAAAATATGTTTAATTCAACTTTTCAAAGTTATGAACACTGTGCTTTAACAAATAATTTTGTATTTGTTAAAATTCTCCTGTTTATTTTTATATTTCCCTTCTACTTTTACATTTTATTTTTTCTCTTCACCTTCATATATTCTCCAGTTATGTTAAAATGTTTTTGAATTCATATGTCAACTTTACTAATTCTATTTTTAATAATTTGTTCATTTTCTATGCTTATCTTTAGAAAATATTTTCTATTTTCATCGGTTTTGTTATAGACACCTTTTAATTATATATAATACATATCATTTAAAACGTATATATTTTGTTTTTTCCTATTGTCAAAGAGCAATAGTTCCATAAAAGGCTCACATAAAACAATTGCTTTCTGTCCATTTCTTCTTATATACCTTTGTTTTATATATTTATATATTTAATGCATAAAATATCACTGATGATTTTATATTTTTATGCGTACTTTGCTCTATTGAATATTTTCGGCTATGTACCCAGTCTTGAATAAAGTTAACATTAATACCTTTATTTTTTTCTTTGTGTTTTTCCAGTAGATCTTTTTTCTTTTATTTTTTATTTATATGTGTCTCCTCGTTTTGGATAGGTTTCTTGTGAGCAGGTCATAGTTGGATTTTCTTAGCGCAATCCTGAAGTCTTAGTATTTTAAATATAGGAAGATAAATCACTTACATTTATTGTTATAACTGGCCATCCTCCCATCCTGGGTAATTATTCTGAGTATCTGTGATTTTGCTCAGCCAGGGCTCAGGGAAACTGAGTCTCAACACTGACACAGAAATCAGTTGCAGGCAAGAAAACGAGCAAAAACTCACACTTAATCATGGGTAAAGAAAGGAGCATTATAAAAATCAAGTCTGTGGAATTGATCAGAAATCTAGAACAGGATACAAATCAAAGAATTTAAAATGTCAGATACAGTTGAGGAGTGGGTTCATAAAACAAAGCCAAGACAGCTTCCCTGAGGAAAAGACACAGAGGGAGATGCAAGTATTTTTAATCTTTTATCATGATAATGAAAAATACAATGATGGCAACAAATTACAACAACAACTCATTTATCAAATCATATTTGGGCCAGACACTGAACTACGTTCTTTAGATAATCCATCCCCACAAGTACCCTAGGAAGTGTATGTTTTTTCCCGTTTTAACAACAAGAAGACTCAGGTTTTAAGTACATAAGTTAATTTCCCTAAGGCCAAAGTTAGGAAGTGCCTGAACCACTTTCAAAATAAGATATCTCTCTCAAAAGTCTGTGATGTTTTCTATTATATTATATTGTTCCCCCCCCGCCCCCCGCCCAGTAAAGGTTGAGTATCCCTAACCTAAACATCCAAAATGTTCGAAAATACGAAACTTTTTGAACACCAACATGACCCTCAAGGGAAGTGTTCATTGGAGGATTTCAGATTAAAGATGGTCAACTGGTATACACTCTGCAAATATTCCCCAATTTGAAAATCTCCCAAATCCAAAACACTTCTGGCCCCAACCATTTCAGATAAGGGATACTGAACGTGCATTAACATTTTTCTTGGTTTTTATTTTCCCCATTTCTATAAGTATGTATTTTCTTTGAATTCTTCAAATTCAGTTTTTGTTTGTTTGAGATGGAGTCTTGCTCTGTCACTCAGGCTGGAGTGTAGTGGCGCAATCTTGGTTCACTGAAACCTCTGCCTCCTGGGTTCGACTGATTCTCCTGCCTCAGCCTCCCGAGTAGCTGGGATTACAGGCGCGTGCCACCACGATCAACTAATTTTTTTCTATTTTTTGGTAGAGGCAGGTTTTCGCCATGTTGGCCAGGCTGGTCCTGAACTCCTGACCTCAAGTGATCTGCCCACCTCGGCATTCCCAAAGTGCTAGGATTACAGGCGTGAGCCACTGTGCCTAGCCCAAATTTTATTTTTTAAGATCACACTTGAATGCATACATTCTCTAATCATCAAATTCATGAATGATATAACTTTTGACTTACTTTACAAGATGAAGAATTTCATACTCTTCTTTCCCACATACACTCCTTTTCCCCCATTCTTGCCAACTTCATTTAGAATTATGGACATATTTATTACTTTTATTCTATCTCAAGAAAAATTTCCAACTGTACTTTATTTACAACTTTTTTAAACTTAATTTAGTATGTTAAGCTGGGGTTATCACAATTCTTTTGAACTCATTTTTGCTATTGAGTTTTTGTCTTTAACATGTTGTTTCACTGGAACGTATCTTTAATGTTTTCAAGAAAATGCATGGGTGGTATCTTTTTTGAACCCTTGACTAGAATATCTAAGAATCTCTTTTTGTTTTCTTTGCAAATTAACATTTCAGCTTGAGTCATAAGCACTTTCTAGTACCATTTAGACTTTACTCATTTCTCATGTAGCATCTAGTCTTGTGCTGTACCCTTAATTCAGCCTATTCTCATTTTTTATCATAAGTAACATTTGTTTTGTCTGGATGTTTGTAGAATATTTTAAAATCTTTTCCATTTGAACAAATTTGCTAGATTATGTCTGTGTACATCTTTACTTTTGCCCGGAACATGGTGCAGTATTTTAAGTTGTACATTTCTTTTTTCTAGCTCAAGTTTTTATTCCGTTTTTCTCCATGGTAAAGCAACGTCATTTGTTCTGGTTATATTTCCCTTGGGTCCTTCTTGTCCATAGAGTAAGTCTTTGTTTTTGATGGACCAACTTACCTATCTTTTCTGTCATCATTTTTTGTTTCTTTTCTCTGCATTGATAGAAAAATTCTCTACCTTGTTTTCTACATTATTTATTTGGCTTTTTGTGATTTCAATTCTGGTCTTCACTGCATCAGAATTGAAGTTTGATTCCACAATTTTATTTTTAGTTTACCTGAATTCAATTCTTACATGTCAGTTTCCTTTTCAATCTCAGAATCTCAAGTGTCACCTTTTTCATCAATTTCATTCTTACTTCAGAAAGTACATACTGCCTAGTATTAAGAACACAAAAAAAGCAGGATTAAATCTTTTTTCTGTTTTATGCAGTCAGCTTTCCCTTAAACAGGCATGCTTTTTCTCTGCCTCATTGGTCTAGCGAGTCTCCTGTTACATGTTACGGAATATTTTTCATAGACTCAATGTATCTTTATACCATCCCCCAGCGCATATGCACTTACTCCCTCTCCAACAAGGATATAGCTGTCCAAATTGTTTGTACTCTGGATCTGCCAGAATCTTCCTCTTAAATGTTTAACTGAAGAGGAAGCTATGGTGTCTAGCTAGCAATGTGTACTGTTACACTATGACATGAATTTCTCTTGCTTCCCTGTTTCTTTGTAAATAAAAGGTGAATTCATTACTAAATACTTTGAAACATTCCATAGTCTTTTTGTGGCCTGAAACAGTGCAGGGGAAACTCCGATTCCAAGACACAGAGCTCTCAATGTATCTGGCAGATTGTATTTTTCAAAGGTAGCCACAGCAAATATATACCTCATTCCTTGGTTCTTCTAACAAAGTGACATCAAACATCCTTCACCAGGAGATGAAGTCTATGTTCTCCCGTCTTGAGTACAGATGGAACTTTGTAGCTGCTTCCATGAACAGGCTGCAGCAGAACTAACATGGCTGACTTCTGAGGCTAGGTCATAAAAGTCACAGGGCTCCCTCTCTGAGGCAGGTACACTGGGAGCCGGGAGCCTGCATGCATTAAGTCTGGCTGCCCTGAGGCTGTCATGCTGGAGAGATCAGGGTGAGAGCCCGCAAACAGATACCCAAAGAGGCCCAGCTATTCTCACCCGCAGCTGTTTGTCTTTGTAGACCAGGTGCCAGGTGCCAAATGAGATGATCCCAGCTGACAGTAGAGTCCAGCTCTCCCTCCTAAGCCCTGTCCTGACTGCAGATTTCTTGAGCAAAGTACGTATTGTTTTAAACCACTAAGTTCTGTGGTGGGTTGTCACCCAGCAGTAGATAATTTTTTAAAAGTTTCCCATCCTTATTCGCACTTACATTATTTTACATCCCAGGGCATACTCTGCAACCACCCATGCATTTCACGGAGGCCCACTGCGCCTTTCTGGGAGTTGCAATTGCACAGATAGATTCAGCAAGGTGAGAATGCCATCCTCAGGCAGCCAGGAGGTGACTGTCAGGCTATTTGGTTGGGGAACCAGCCAGCATCCCCTCTGCAGAACCTTCCTCTCTTTTTCCTATGGAGGAAGTAGGAACTCCTCTTCCTTGGTCATCCCATCTGTCCTGTGTGAGGAGTAATTTCCCTGAGAAACTGACCATCCATAGTCAGGATCCTGGGTTTTCAGCCTTTTATGTCCTGTGAGCCTCTGGATTTTTGTTGGGTAAAGGCAGTTAGGAGGGGGAAATCCAGGCAACCATTATGATCCACAAGCTCAGTATCTCAGCTTTCATTCTGAGATTCAGATATGCCACCAAAACAACATTCAGACACAAAATAAAACGGCAGGTTTCCTCTCCTCCACTCCCCCGTTCCCTGGCCATGTCATTAGTCGTCTATGCTCCCTCCCTGCGGGACTGCACAGTGCGAGGATTCCCAGAGAATGAAAATAACCAGCGTCATCTTTAGAGCCAATTGTTCCTCTTAGTCCTTTTTTCTAAAGCCCCAAATACAATAAAAAAAGGGGAATGAATATAAATACTAAAATACTGCTTAAAATTGTCTAACTCTAGGCTTCTTTTGATACCATTCTAAGCCAATTCTTCTCAAGTCATGATGTACACCTGCAGAGCTTGTTAAACTTTAAATTCTGATTCAGCACATCTGGTCTGAGAGTATTCTCTCTCCCTCCCTCCCTCCCTCCCTCCCTCTCTCCCTCTCCCTCTCTCCCTCTCCCCCCTCCCTTGTCTCTCTCTCTCTCTCCTCCTCCCTCCCTCTCTCACCTCCCTCCCTGTCTCTCTCTCCCTCTCTCTCCCTCCCTCCCTCTCCCTCTCCCCCCACCCCTGTCTCTCCCTCTCTATCCTCCTCCCTCCCTCCCTCCTTCCCTCTCTCCCTCCCTTCCATGTAATAATGCCTGTGCTGCTGCCCAGGGACCACACTTTGAGTAGCCAGGCTCTAGGCAATCCCTCTTGCTCTCACCTCCTGCCTGGCTAGGTGCAGTCTTACAGCTACTGTCACTACCATGTCCGTTTTCTTCTTTCCTCCTAATGCTTACGGGCTCTTCTTGCCATTTTCTCCTGTCCCATACCTGTTGGGCAGCTCCAGTGATGAAGGGTTTCTTCTTCTTGTGTCCTCACTTGTTTGTTCTCTCCCTCATAGTTACTGACCACTCTGGGCTTGGCTCTTTTAGGAGGCAAAAATATAGAAATGAAAGACACTGACCAAAGGCTAATGAGGGAGAAGCACAGTGAGAGCTCTCCACAGTGGGATCCATGCTAGGGTGTGCAGAGGCTGGCTCAGGCGGAGAGGGGAAGCAGGTGGGAGGGAGTCAGGAGGCAGTTAGTGAGAGGGTATTCTCTGAGGACTTCCTGGAGGCGGTGACACTAGCTGGATCTTAAGATACTAGTAGGTGTAAGCCCCCTGAAGAAAGGGGGAAGGAAGGACATTCCAAGCAGAAGGAACAGCCTGCACAAGTGTTTAGAGGAGGAGACCGCATGGTGAGCTCAAGGAACTGTAATTAAGCACGGATGGAGTGTACGGTGTGTGAACGGCTGGGGGAGGGTTACGGTTGTATATTATCTGCTCCGGCTGCCATAACAAAATACTACAGACTGGGAGGCTTAAAGAACAGAAATGTGTTCTCTCCCCATTCTCAAGACTAGAATACCAAGATCAAGGTGTTGACAGGTTTGGTTTCTTTTGAGGCCTCTCTCCTTTGCTTGCAGATAATTGCCTTCCACCTGTGTCCTTCCATGGTCATCTCTCTATGTATATCTGTGTCTTGATCTCTTCCAATAAGGATACAGTCCTATTGGATTGGAGCCATATGAGCTTGTTTCACCTTGGTTACCTCTTTAAAGGCCCTGTCTCCAAATACAGTCACATTCTGAGGTGGTAGGGGTTGAGTTTGAAACATACGAATTTTGGGGGAGATACAGTTCCGCCCATAACAGGTCATCAAAGGTTGGACAGACTTCTTGTTCTGTTTGTTCACTCCTCACTCCTCAACCCTCCTACTTGCTGTAGTATGGGAGAGGCGTATGCCTGGAGGAATGGCAAGGAGGCAGCGTAAGGAAGCTAGGGTGCAGGAAACAAATGTATCCCGAGCAGAGGTTTTGTATCTTTCTCCCATGGGTATATGATGTCTCTATAACCCATTCTCTTAATTTAGGTTTTCTTTCTCTGTAGTGGCAGTCTACACCCTGGAGATTTTTTTTCCATGACCTCCTTGTATGTTCTCCAGAAACTCTTCTTTCACTTTGATCAGTCCAAGGGTTAATGGACTGACTGCACCATGCCCACTTGAGGTACACAGGCCTGGCACCCACTACCCCTCAGGAGGGCAGACAGCTGTGACCACTTTCTGCTGAGCTTGGAACTCACGATACTCTTGACATATAATCACTATCCCTCATGCTTCCTTTGTGGAAATGCTGTTGGGCCTTCAACTGGTTTCCAGTGCTGGCTCATGTCATTTGCCTACCATAGCATAACCCACTCTCCAAATATCAAGGTTTGTGTGCATTTTTCAGAGACCAGGAGCAAAGGTGGGAAAACCCTCCTCCGAGAGAGAGGACGAAAGACATTGTGTCCAGGAAAGGGGCTCGTGGGGACAATTTTTGCTGCAAGAAGGGTGTGTGTGTAGTTGCACAGAGGATGCAGAGGAGGTCCCTGGGGGGAATGCCTGGAAGGAACTTTTCTATAAACATTGACTCCTTCTGAACATTGACACCTTCTGGATCTCTTCTGTCCTAATCAGAGGTATTAAGCTTCTTGGCACGAGGCCTGGTGGTCACTGAGAACAAATGATCCTTTATTTTTATTATTATTGTTATTATTATTTTGAGACGGACTCTCGCTCTGTTGCCCAGGCTGGAGTGCAATGGCACGATCTCGGCTCACCGCAACCTCTGCCTCCCAGGCTCAAGCGATTCTCCTGCCTCAGCCTCCTGAGTAGCTGGGATTACAGGTGCTCACCACCATGCCCGGCTAATTTTTGTATTTTTTAGTAGAGACTGGTTTTTCCCATGTTGGCCAGGCTGGTCTTGACCTCCTGACCTCAGGTGATCCAACTGCCTTGACCTCCCAAAGTGCTGGGATTACAGGCATGAGCCACTGCACCTGGCCGATCCTTTATTTTTATAGTAAAACACTTTCTATACCCTTAAGAAGCTAACAGTCTATGTGGATAAACAAATTCTATTTATATGCATATCAACAGAAGCAGCAAATGATGATCTCCCCAAATGTACTAATATTGGGAAATGTTTATTATCTCTATTCTTTCTCCTTTACCTCAAAACTCATTTTCCATAAATATAACAGATTCCTAAAACCCTGGTTTTCTCATATCAATTCTTTCTATTTCCATTAATGGTCTTCTTTCTTTCTTCTGTTTCTCCAGTTGAATTCACCATTTTTTAGAAGTATATCTACATTGATGTTTATCATTTTCACTTCTTTGCTGAGCTTTAGGGCACATTCAAATTAAGAGATATAATTCACAATATGAAACTATGAATATAGTAAGTAGCAAACGGAGGCTATTTGGTAGAAAGGCATATGGACCAGGCTAATTGGAAAATGGGGGTGGGGAGAGAAAAACTCTGAGAAAAAGAAAATAAGCTTCAACTCAGCCCAAATATTAGTTTCAAGCCAAATAAGTTGGCCTAGCCCCAATTCTATCCTTGGTTGGACACAACATAGGATTGGTGCATTTTCAGAAAAAAAAAAAAAAAATTCACAGGGTGAGAATCTAAGCATCCATTTTCCATCCCAGTGACAATCAGAAATCATTCTTTGCATTTATTCTTCAACTTTGTATTTGCCTGTGAACAAAACTGAAGCTGGCAAAAGATGCTTCACGTGAATTACTTGAACAACAATTTCTCATTGTGTTGAATTACACTGAGGCTGCTTGCTGGGAAATCTTTCACAGTCCAGTAACAGAGGAAGATATTGTCGTTTTTTCCCACGACCATATAGTTAACCCACTTCTCTCCTACCAAAATGAATAGACAGTCCTCTCTAAAATGAGGGAGGAAAGCTCTTCAAATCCTGATCACTAAGCATTTACCTATAGCTTATCAATATCTTACGAACCAAAAGCCAGTTTATCTTCTCATGTCACCCCACTTTCTTTTTTGCTTCCCCACATCAGATTTTAAGATTACTTGGCTTCTCAATGTTTAGAATACCTCTAGTAGCCAACAAAGTAAGGAATCACGGAACCACAGCCTTAGCTAGCAATATTTTCATCTTGAAAAGTCATCTAGTCCAGAAAGTAGTTGAGAGGCTAAAATAATCATAAAGGTTCTAGAGTCATTCATAATACCAACCTCTTCCTAAATTCACCATCCACCACTAGAGGGAGAGATGAATGAAAAAGGCCCTAGCATGGAAGTGGAGGTTACAGCATTTCTCCAAGGCAACATTTAAGGAAGCCCAGTTGAGGCCTTTAATGGGGTTTAAGTTGTCGGCTTTCCTGCTCACATGAGTGTTAACCGTCTATTTCAGAGGCTTGTTGGAGGGGGCACTGCAGTTCATGGAAGGGTTAAACCCCCTCTACCTCCCTTTCTTTCTCCTCCCTGCTCCCGTGTCAGGAGTTGGTTCCTTCCTGTGGGTTCGTGGTCTCGCTGACTTCAAGAATGAAGCTGCGGACCTTTGCGGTGAGTGTTACAGCTCTTAAAGGTGGCACGGACCCAAAGAGTGAGTAGCAGCAAGATTTATTGTGAAGAGCAAAAGAACAAAGCTTCCACAGCGTGGGGGGGGGGGGGGGTGGGGCAGCTTTTGTTCCCTTATTTGTCCCCACTCATGTCCTGCTGATTGGTCCATTTTTCAGAGTGCTGATTGGTCCATTTTACAAACCTCTAGCTAGCTACAGAGCACCGATTGGTGCGTTTTTACAGAGCACTGATTGGTGCATTTTACAAACCTCTAGCTAGCTACAGAGTGCTGATTGGTGCATTTTACAATGCTCTTGTGAGACAGAAAAGTTCTCCAAGTCCCCATCCGACCCAGGAAGTCCAGCTGGCTTCACCTCTCACTCCCACCAATTTGGGGTGGCAAATGTAGACTCAATTCCTGCCACTTGCTGGCGGTGAGCTCCCAAAATCCACCTACTGTTGTTTCTTTTGAGAAAAAAAAGGGGCTAATAAGACCAGCTCTCCCTGTTGTAAGCTTCAGCTGAGATACAGGACATAGAAGTACTTCATAAGCATTAACGTGCTGTACAGATACAAGGATGTTTACTATTTTTCTGCTGCTTCCTCTATCTGCATACGGGGCTAGGGGAATGCCAAGCAGAAGCACTTGGTGCTCATAAACCCACCTTATCATCCCTGGAGCCCTGATCTACAAGTAAATAAAGGATGAGCAAAGAAGGAAGGGAGTTGAACTTGTTAAATTCCTTCTTTCTGACTGTTGTGAGGCCGCAGCCTGATTTCCCTGAGGCTGACTTTGATGATTCTTTAGGCTTCAGGCACCAGGATTACTTTCATGGCTGCTTACCATTAATTATAGGAAGAATCCACAACCCTAATCCGAAATCCTTTATCTGACAGCAAAAGTGTGTGATTTCTCTAAAGACAGCTAATTTTTTAATCTAAAATAAATGGTTAAGCTGAAAGAAGGCTGTGCCCTTCTCAGTCTGTACATGAGGCATTGTGGCATAGAACAAAAAGGGCTGGCCGGGCGTGGTGGCTCATGCCTGTAATCCCAGCACTTTGGGAGGCTGAGGCAGGTGGATCACCTGAGATCAGAGTTCGAGACCAGCCTGACCAACATTAAGAAACCCCGTCTCTATTAAAAATACAAAATTAGCCGGGTGTGGTGGCACGTCTGTAATTCCAGCTACTCCAGAGGCTGAGGCAGGAGAATCACTGAAACCCGGGAGGTGGAGGTTGCCATGGGCCGAGATCGCACCATTGCACTCCAGCCTGGGCAACAAGAGCGAAACTCCATCTCAAACAAACAAACAAACAAAAAAGAACAAAAAGGGCTGGACATGGATGCAAGTTTTGTTCCTTTCCAGCTTTATAAAAGAGGAACAACATAAGTCCCAGCCTCCCCATCAGATGAACCACACTGCGTGATAAACGAGATAATATGTATGTAGTTATAAAGAACCTGGGCTATGATGGCAGACAACCTGGTTTTCAAAGACTTGCCCTGCCACTTACTAGACAAGTGACACTGGTCAGGTTAACCTTTCTAGGCCTCAGTTGTCTCATCTGTAAAACAAGGCTAATAATAGTATCTGGTTTAGAGGATTGCTGTGAGGATTACGTTGTAAATGCGGGTGAAGCACTGAGAATGGTGTCTGGCCATAATAAGCACACAGTAAACATTAGCTCTTGTTATTACAAAGAATGTAAATAAGAGTTGAAGACTATAAAGCACTCCGCACATTTCATTAGCAATGGGGTCACCATTCGTAGACAAGTCTCAGCTCAGCTTTGCAGCTTACCGTCACAGAGGCAGGGAACAGAGCTAGCTTGTCAAGGGTCTTCTCAGGAGGAAGTGGGGAGGTAGCCCATGAAGCAAAGTGATGGGGAGGGAAAGAGGGGGACATAAAGATCCTGCAGAGAAGTTGGCTCCGAGTGATAGGAGGGTGTGGGGAAGAAAGAAGGGGGCAGTAAGGATTCTCATTATAGGACTGGCCGGGAATGGTGTGACCACTGATTCAGGAAGTGGGGAAGACGGGAAGAGACTTCAAGTGTGGGGGGAGCCAATTCAGATAGGAGGTGGCCTAGACAAGGTGAGGGCATCTCAAAGCGACACCAAGCCTGGGTGAGATCACGTCTGGAGCCACAGAAGGATGAAGCAGTTTATATTTAAATGCCATGGCAAAACAACATCCCCACCATTACACCCTCCATTCTCATTCAAGTTCTTCGGGAGAAAGGAAAAATATGGTCGGGTTCATTGCTATTCAGTTTTGAAGTTGAGCCTGCATTTGGACACAGGCGCTTGGGAGAGTGGGTCATTTTCTTTGACACAATTATTAAGGAAACCGTTTTAAATGATTCCTTGAGTCCCCCAATGGCCCAGGTGGAAGGTGCTGTTTCCTGGTACCTGTCCAGCCCTCTGAGCTTTTCTCTCAGCTTCCAAACGCTGCAGTTGAGAACTAGCAGATCCTATTGGTAGTGCCCTGTGGCCCACACTCCTTGGTAACGGTGAGAGTGGGGAGTAATTAGGAGCGGCTGCCATGGGCCAGGCATTCAGGTCAAGGCCGAGGATGGTGGCCAGGGCCACAGAGCCAGGGGACGGGTGGGGACCCAGCAGGCCTGCGGCTGGCCGCTTGCTGAGCGCTCCAGCAGCGGGGCCCTGGGCGGATGAAGGGCCGGAGAAGGCCCTCTGCTGGGGCCGCGGCGATCTTGCAGCGCCTGGACACCGAGGCTGGGGCACTAACGGTCCGTGGGGCTCCCGACGTATTCCTCTAACTTCCCCTTTCTGTCCTTTCGGTCTGGGGCCTTTTCAACACCCCCTGTGGCCGGGGACAGCTGGGGCAGAAACCGGCAGGCGGCAGAAGCCTCAAGCAGCTCTGACCTCTGGCACCTCCCCAAGACCCAGAGCACAACATCTGTCCCCAGAAATCCCCGGGCGGAGAAGAGCGCGCGCCAAGCCCTTCCTGGGTACTCAGTATTCTCCCTTCCTGGGAACAGCCTGCCCTCTGAGGCCTGGGCACCCGGGTTCCCGAGCGCCGGGTCCCAGCCCCGCGGGGGCGCCTCCGCACCCCATCTCCGCGCCCGGCGCAGAGCCGCCAGTCTCCGCCGCGGGGCCCCGTGCCCCGCAGCGCCACCTAGGGGCCGGGCGCCGCCTCCCGCCCTCAGGGGCACCCCCCTTACTCCGCAAGGACTCCGGGTCTCCCCAGTTCTCCCGGCAGCCGGACCCTCCCAGCCTCGGCCGCCGGGCCGCCCTCCGCATCCCAAGCCCGCCTCCCGTGCCTCCCCGGGGGCGCACCGGCAGCGAGGAGCGGCTCGGCGAGGGCGCGCAGCGGCGGCCCAGGCCCAGGCCTTGGGGCTGGGGCTGAGGGGGTGAGAGCAGGCGCGGCCGGCGGGCAAGGGGAACCGGGCGATGGCAGCGGCGGGCGGCCGCGGGAGGCGAGGCAGCGGCGGCGGCGGGCGGCGCGACGAGCCCCTGTGATTGGCACAGCCGGAGCCGGAGGAGGAGGCCAGGGGAGGGCGGAGGCGGGGGAGGAGGAGGAGGAAGGGGCGATCGCGGCGGCGGCGGCGGCGGCGAGGAGCTGTGCCTTCCACCTCTCCAGCCCCGGCAGGACGGGGGCGGCCGCCGCGAACCCGGGGCGGGGACAGCACGCAGCCTCGAGGCGCGCACCCCCGCCCGGCAGCGGCCCCGACACCCGGGGCGAGCGGGAAAGCGGCAGCGGCGGCGGCGGCGGCGGCGGCGGGGGAAGGATGCAGGGGAAGAAGCCGGGCGGTTCGTCGGGCGGCGGCCGGAGCGGCGAGCTGCAGGGGGACGAGGCGCAGAGGAACAAGAAAAAGAAAAAGAAGGTGTCCTGCTTTTCCAACATCAAGATCTTCCTGGTGTCCGAGTGCGCCCTGATGCTGGCGCAGGGCACGGTGGGCGCCTACCTGGTGAGTCCCCGAGCCAACTCCGCCGCGGGCCCCTTCCCCAGCCCGGCTCTCGAGCGGCCGCCTGGCCCGACGAGGGGGCCGCCCGGCGCTGGGGGCAGGCGGGCATGACCTCGGCCCGGCGTGGAGGTTGGCGAGTGGTGCAGAGGCGGCCGCCGGGGGAGCTGCCGGCCGGGGCTGCCAGCGAGCGGGTAGCGGGCGGGACCGTTGATGCCGGTAGCAGCTCGCGCGCGTCCGGCTGGGGCAGGGGGTGCCGGGGGAGGAGAGGCGGCGGGCAGGTGGGCGTGAAACTATTCCTCTCCCCCCATAAGAGCGGAGCGAGACGGTGAGTTCAGGGTTCTCCTTGGAGAGGAACGAAAAAGCGTCGGGGTTTTCAGGTGACCTGCACATGGGAAGAAAAACCAGTTAGCATCCTGCGTCCTCTACTCTCCATTGCATCCTCCTCGAGAACAAATCTATTATGCATCATTTTCTCCGGGCGCTTTCTACATCCGCCAATTACAGGGGGATATAACAGCTTAGAGTGAAATGCGCCCTAGTGTGGCCCTGGCCTGAGCCGGGGCTGCAGGGGGAATATTGCCACCCGGTATCCCTATAGCCCTCTTTGAGCGTCTGGGATAAAGTTACGGTACCTAGAGAGCAGCTGCGAGTTTGTGTAGTTCCTGCTATCCACTCTTAGTGCTAAATTCCCCATCGTGGTCTGTCGCCTACAGAAGGTTGCACCATTTTCCACAATGAATATGTATTTTATTTGCCTCCAGAAAGGGGATGTTAATGCTCAGAGGGCCCATGGGTGCGTAACATTTCAGAGGAAACAGCTTGTAATGACTCAGCACTGTCAGGTACCTACTTTGTCGCTTTCGCCTCCTCTGCTCAGGTGGTCGCAACTTGAGTTCCAGAGAGCGTGCTTCCACACCTAAGTACAGTCCTGTCTAAACGGGAAATTTTTTTTGAGAGTTTATAGTGTTAAATCATTACTTGGCTATTGACCCGCAACTGGAATCAAATGTCATAGACTTTGAGTATTCCTGAGCAAGTTTGATGGAGATAGAATTGGACAAGATTTTGGCCATTGAATAACCACATCCAGAGATAGAACCACGCGTATCCTGATGCTATGATTAATCCCTCATTCCTGGCCTTGGGGTAAAGTTCATGAGGGCCAGACGCTGGGGGCTGTATACCATTCATAAACTATCTCTTAAGGCTCAGGGCTCACTGTTAAAGGGAAATACAAGCAGTGCTTGGTCTCCGGTGTTGAGGAAGTTAGGTGGTTGTGAGAGAGGGGGTCTTCAAACTCAGCTCTGTTCCTGGGGTGACAGAATTTCAGGGCTTTTGAAAATCAAATACATTTCTGTTGCTCATTCTGAGACGAAAAGCGTTTACATCCCGGTCTCTGTCTTGTGCATTCGTAACTTGTAGACTGCAAGTGAACCCTGTAGTCAAAAGCATACCTTGTTTTCTGTTCTATAAAATACACTTATTGTGTCTATAGTTATAATATGCAGTTGCAGACAGTACCTATTAGCCCTTGGAATTTGAGGGATAGGGGATAATTGTGTTTTGGGAGTCAGTTTATCGGCACTTCCTTAGGGGAAATTTAACTGTTAAAATATTTAAATAAGTACATGTATTACAGAGATGCAAATTCACATTAATAAAATATATGTGGGTCTGTACTGTGACATATGCAAAGTACATAATACCTAACCGGGTCTATGTTTAGAAGGAGGTAATTAGTATATCAACAGCTGCCTCCACTTTAACGGTTTGTTTGCCTCAAACCAATTTTGCTCGGTAGAGTGCATTATTCATGTGTGGCAAACACCCGCAGAACTTTTCACCCCAGGAGTGATAAAAGCGTGGGCTTACTATTTTTCGGTTGCAGTGATCTAAGGATTTGACAAATAAATGAAGCTGGGCTGCAACTAGATGAATGGCCTAGCTCCTTTAGAAAGTTAAGAAGCCGAGTACTCCTGGAGTGGTGGACTTCTGGAGGCAGGGCTGGCCCCAGGAGATAGGAGGTTGACTTTAATCCCAGAACAGGGGAATGGCAAGCAGAGGAGGAATTCGGTCCACCTGGTGGCGGCATCCTGGCACTTCTAGCCTTCGCTGATGGAAAGCCTGGTTGGGTGGGGTAGGGTAACAGGAGTCAACAGGTGACTTGCAGAAAGCAGCTGGAGGCCCAGGAGAGGACAGGCCTAGGAAATTGAATTCATTTTGATTACTAGGAGTGGAGGCATAAGGCTCTAAGGGCTCTGCTTTGCCCGGCTGCCCTCGTCTTTGCCTTGCCATCGGAGCCTCATGAAAATAAATAGTTGGCTTGTCAGGGTTGACTGACGCAGCTTGCTATGGGCTTTGCTCTTCTGGGCCACTTCAGAGTTTTCTCTTCATCTGTTATTTGGGAGATGGGGAAAAAAAGTTTGCTCCTTCAGCCATGCGAGACTTCTCTGTGGATAATTGGAGAATGAAATATTGCAGGCTGTTTGCAGGAAAGGCACATTTCTTCCTTTTAATTCATCATGGCTTTCTTAGGAAACCTGAGACCTTGTGTCTGTAGGGGACCACAGGGCAGGGTCCACGTGCTAAGTGTGCGTTATACGTGATCCTTACCTTGGCAATCAGCCTGCCTCTCTAATGAGGCATTTCCAGATACTTGAGGAAGGACTTGCCTTGGGACAGTGCCAGTAATGCTCCCTTTCACAGAGAGGAGGGTGGTTACAAATTCTATGCCAACGATGTTATTTCCTATTAGATTCCCAGAGTCCACCTTCTTATTTCATCTCCCCAGGTGCCTTAAAATATTGCAGTTTCATTTCCTTATTTTTTTCTGAAAAGACAAATTTCTCAGTGTCCTGAATGACACTAGTGTAGGCTTCCCAACTGCAGAACTGAAGCAGAAGGTTGCCTGTGATTTAAGAAGCAACTTTGAGAAGGAGGACTCGTGTGTGTGTGTGTGTGTGTGTGTGTGTGTGTGTGTGTGTGAGAGAGAGAGAGAGAAAATGTGTGTGTGTGTCTGTGTGTGTGTGTATGTATGCATGTGTTTGTTTTCCACCAAGAACCTGCCCAGGGAGGAAACTCAAAGGAAAACTGTATTGTATATAAGGCCATCAATTGTTAGGCTAGGCTGGGGGCCTGCAACTTTTGCCTTGGTGTCAGGCAGTACAGAAAGACACTGATCCTGAAAGCCAGACTCAGTGATCTAGATAAAGTAACCCAGGTGCAACCTGGGCCAACTGTGGATTCTGAAATCTATTACGGTTACAAACATCTTAACTGGAAACCATGCTTCAGATAAACCAATAGTCACAGGGATGTTCCATCATAGTCACCTAAACCTCCTGACTGGCTATGACATAATTTTTGCAGCATAAGAGGAGAGGCCTGCTCGGTTTGATAGTCATTTTGTATGGAACAGAGAATGCAATTTAATTTTCTTCTACTTGGGTTTTGGCTTCGAGTGGCTCCAGTCCTGTTTGCAAGGATGTAACATGTGCTTAAGTCTTGGACTGGTTGGAGAAGATGCAGGCATATGAGAACTGCATGGGGAGAAAGTCATTTTGTGTGTGCCTATTGGTGTTTTGCAGAGACCCCCTAAAATGTTTTAAGCCACTCGCTGAGGGTAGCCCTGCATATAGAGGTTTCTGTGTGGTATCAAATTACTGAGGACTGGAGTAGATAAGGGTGTGTACAGGAAATTAAAGCCTCTGACACTTCTAGATGATTAGTTTGAGGCATACATACAAATACATTTGAATTTCCTCAGGTTGAAAACTGAAAAAAGGCCAGTCTAGTTTCCTGGGTGGGGCACAAAGGGAGTTCCTGTGAACAAGGGGTAGGTATTTCCCTATTTAGAGTTATAGAAAAATAAGTTTGAGGTTGTGGTGACAAAATAATGACATAGATGACTGAGTGTGGTTAATGAGGCTCTATCTCACTGCTTTGTAGTCACACTTTTTCTTTCAGCCTGAGAATAGTCAAGTGGGCTTGCAATTAATGGGTGAGGCGAAACTGCTAGGTTTGTTACTCCTTTTTTTTTTCTAAAGAAACATCATTTCGAAGATGAGTTTCTGCATATTCAACCCAGAAGCAGACAGCTCAGGAAACTGTCTGTTGACATTTTCAACAGAGAGAGACATTTTTAAAGTCCTTGTCAAATTACTATGATGACTAAGGTAACCGTATTTTATTTAATCAAATTATTTTATACACTTATGCTTACTCAAAGTGACAAAATTCCTTGCCATTTCCATAATTACTATGTAGCCCCAGGTAGTAAGAAATAAAATTACCTTGATTTTTTTTTTCCTTATAGCTAGATTCAAAATGTTAATAATTATTAAGGGAAAAAGGTGTTTCTGAAAATTCTTTTCAGCCAGGTTTGTGTATTTATCTTTGTTTGTGAGGGGGTTTTTGTTGGTGTATTTAACAATAGAAGAAACTGAATGAGTTGTAAAATGAGCGAGGGCTCTATCCTGCATTTTGTTAACTCTTCCCCTCATTCAATTTTAGACACCTTATGAAAAGGATCGCCAAGAGGCCTCTCTGCAGTGGCACCGCCTTGCTAATCAATTGCCCAGCATTTGCAGCTCATCTTGGGTGCTGCTGGAATCGTGTTTTCTGTTATGCTGCATGGGCTGCTTCTTGCACGAAGTCATTGGTGAACTGCTGGGCAAAGGCAGCCCCACCAACAGGGTCTCTGTGAATTTATTTTGCACACCTAAAAGCAAACTTTGAGGTGCTGCCTTGATCAGGGACTGTATTCTCTTAGCAGATTGGCCTGGATGAACAAGGGTAGTATTGCAAAAATGATGAGGATACAGCTGCATTTCATGCAGAAAGAGTGAAGAATAAAACTCCCTACTAGCTGCATTTCTCTGGCTTTAGTTCCAACTCGCGCAGATTTCACTACATGCATCATTTAATAAGCATGTTTCTCTAAAGTGGAGTCAAAGTACTTCTCTTCTGCATATGTACTCTATTCTGTACATTGCCGCATGCATTGCATATTTACATACGTGTTTGTGTACAGCGTTGCATACAATGAATATTGTATGCCATACTTTTTGAAGGTGCGAAGGGACATTTCAATGGTAACTTTGACTGTATGGTTGACACATGGATTTGGAACCGTTCTCCCCTGAAGAAAATCTCGGTATTTTCTTGCCTCTCGGAAATGCCTTTGGTAATCTGTAGGCCAGAAAGATAGCATCCTTACTCTTTCAATTCATTTTTATTTTCGGTTTCTATGTCTGTATCTGGAAAACAGATATAAACAGGAAAAACAGTGGAATCATGGACCTTGGCTCATAGGATAAATGAATTGATGTGATTCAAAGACACTTGTATTTTATGTAGCCTAAGTGTTTATGTGTTAGCATGAGACAAATTATTGCTTAATGGTTAAAACTCCAAGTTAAATGATTACAGTTCCAAGGTGGAGAAAGGCAAGTGTCTGTGGCAGCTGTCGCTTATTCGATGAGTGTTAGAAGACTGGGATTCATGCCTATGTCCTCCCCTTACCTGCTCTGTGACCTTGAGCTGTTTACTTAATCTCTGTGTACCTCAATTTTTCATTTTATAACTGGGGTTATAATAGTACCTACCCTCTGTTTTGCTGTGAGGATGAACTGAGTCAGTACATGTAAAGCACCTTGAACAATATCTGGCACATAGTGAGTGCCCAGGAAATATTAGCTATTACTATTAATAATAATATGGTTATGCATATTTACTGCAAACATAATAACCGTGTAGCCCCAACCAATGAGAAATAAAATTATTTCAATTAAACTTTAGTTTTGGTTTAGTGAATTGCATATTCAAGTAGTTTCCTATTCTACATGGACATTTTTGTCTGGGAGGTAAAAAGTTTTTAAGGGCAAGTAATAAGCTAAATATCAGTTGCTAATTCTGTTTATTCCCTTATAAATATAGCAATCCATTTCATCTTAAAGATGCTATAAAAATTAGTCACATGGGAGAGGAGCCCACTGCAGGAATGGTGATTCATGTTGATCATTTACAGTCCATGGGTACTTGAAGGAGGTTAAAGCAGGGCAGGCAGGACTGGCTGGGCGGGGCAGGTACCCTGATGCTTCACTTTGGGAGGTCCTCAGTATCTCTTGCTGTGGTCTGTGGCCACTGGGTGCTGAAGGCTGAGGGTAGGTGGAAAGAATGTTGGACTTGGAGTTGGAAGACCTGGATTTGAACTTAGACTTGCTATTTCCCAGCTCCTGGCAACTTCACTTACTCGAGCCTCAATAGCCTCATCTGAAAAATGGGGATAATGATCAAGCTTATCTTACAGATGGTTGTGAGGTTTAAACAAATAGTCATGTGATAGAGTACTTCTCATAGGGTACAGTATTCCACAGTTGCTTTAACAGTAATGGTATAACCCTGCTCGTTGACATTAGCACCAACAAAAGTCCCTCCCAGGGAGCTGAGGATTTGGAATATTGTGTGAGGCCAAGGCTTCTGTTTCCTAAACTGGTGATCTGGGCTCCTGAAGCTTGCTCTGCTTCACTGGCTGAAAGGCTGAGTGACCAATTCAAGGGAGCCCGAGGTGTCAGGAGGGCGAGGACAAAGGGACATATGTTGTGGACATATGCTGCCCTCCAGGCAGCCTTGTTTAAAACGTGCCTTCGCAGAGCTCAGCCTTGGTTGCCCAGAGGGGCTCAGGTCTCACGTCTTGTCTGCTGCCTTCACCTCGTGTTCTCTTGCAGTATTAAGTGGACTCTGGCAAGCAGGTCTGTGGGCATTTCCCCACGCTTGGTCTTTTTTTTTGGTTTCTCATAAGCAGAACAATGGACCTGTTCCTGCAACCTGGTTTCCCATCCCATGGATTCATCCATCTCGGCTTACGGACATACCTTCTGCACAACACCACTCCCGTTCCATCTGTAGTCTTAGAAGCAGCCTTCCCGCCCCCAGTCTGGTCACACCTGTCCTTGCGAAGGATAGAGAAGGAATTGGGCCTTTCTCAGTGAATCAGGTGGCAGTGTATGTTTTAGGTGAGTTTTTAGATTCACCTTCAAATGCCACAGGCTTCAGGAGAGAGTCTGTGCTCAGAAGACCTCAGAGCCCCAAAGCCGGGTCACTCTGATGACTTTGCCGAGGGAGGAATTGTGTGTAAAGCACTGAATCTTGTGCAGCCACAGGTGTGGAGTGAGCAAGCCAGGGGAGCCTTCATCCATGAGTTCCAGTGACAACACAGAGACTGGAAACATTCCCTTGGATGTACACAGAACCTCAGCAGTTGGTGACTCCCAACTTCTTTATTTCGGTTCTTCTTTGTGGTTTTGAGTCGAGTGCCTCTGAAAAGGGAAGCCCTTACTGAGGACTTAGCAGCTCGATTGTTTAGTAGAAACGGTGTTAACAGCCTCGTTATTTCCCATATGACTGGGCATTCCTCTTTAAACACGGAATAGTTGGTCATTAGTACTTTCCTGAACTTAGACAATAGTTGCACTTATTCCTCCTAATCAACACACATTGAAAATATTTAAAAGCAAAAAGTAACATAGGCTGCCATAAGCCCCACTTTTGTTGTTGTTGTTATTTTGAGACAGGGTCTTGCTCTATCATCCAGGTTGGAGTGCAGTGGCAGGATCACAGCTTGACGTCCCAGGCTGAAATGATCCTCCCACCTCAACCTCCCAAGTAGCTGGGACTACCGGCACATACCACCAAGCCTGGCTAGTTTTCTTATTTTTTTTTTTGGTAGAGATGGGGTGTGGGGTGGTTTCATCATGTTGTCCAGGCTGGTCTTGAACTCCTGGACTCAAGTGATCCACCTGCCTTGGCCTCCCAGAGTGCTGGGATTACAGGTGTGAGCCACGGTGCCTTGCCAAGCCCTACTTTTTTCAGTGGGGTGGGGCGGGTGGGGCAGGAAGAAGTGTGAACTCATCTTTCCCTTTTGCCCTCATGATTTCCTTTATAAATACCCCTGCCATGACTTTTCAGTACTCTCCTTTTCATGGACGTAATAGTCCAAGTGGCATTTTAAGTTATCTGGTAATGGACTCAGAGAGCCCACTGACTGTAATGATGAAGTCTTATTTTTTTATTTTTTATTTTTTTTTTGAGACAGTCTCACACTGTTGCCCAGCCTGGAGTGCAGTGGCATGACCTCAGCTCACTGCAACCTCTGCCTCCCGGGTTCAAGCAATTCTCCTGCCTCAGCCTCCCCAGTAGCTGGGACTACAGGCGCGTACCACCACTCGGCTAATTTTTTGTATTTTTTTTAGTGGAGACGGGGTTTCACCATGTTGGCCAGGGTGGTCTCGAACTCCTGACCTCAAGTGATCCACTCACCTCAGCCTTAGCATTGGTTTTGGTTAAAATCTTTGCCCTCTGAAAATTCTGGGAACAGGCTGTGCCCATAAACCCATCCCATAGGCAGTGATGGGACTACCACATTTGTTCTGCCAGGTTGTCCTTTGGGACAACTTTTGGGTGTCTGGATAATGAACCTGTTCAGATAGGCCTTGAGACTTTCTTGGTAGCTCTAAAGTCTCTTCTGGCTCTCCGTCCATTGATACCTAAATTTCTAGTTGTGCAGAGCGTGAAGAAATGAGCAGGGGCTGATGAGGCTTTTAACAAATAGTTCCGGAGAAAATAATAGAAGGCAAACTAAATCCCTGCTCACAAAACTACAGGAATTTGAGGGAGTTAGAAGTGATTATTTTTACCGCCATTTCTGCACTTGCAAGGTTGATGTAGGGAGAAGTGTCACAATGATGTTTTTCATTTAAAGACTACTGTAAAATATTAATGGGAATGGCTATTGTCTTTCACCCCCTTTGCAAGAGGCTTATGTAAAATAGGCAGGCTGTTTCTAATTGTTGAATTTGTCTCCCAACTTCAGCTGATTAGAAGGAGAAATTACCACCTTGAATATAAGCAGGTTGAAATTGGGAGAGCTGCCCTCAGCTGATTATATAAGCTATAAAATACAGCACCTAAAGTCTTATGTTTACTCTGCTAAGAATTCCCTTAATGAAGATGAAAATTTCTAAGCAGCATGGACCCATATGTGTTTATTATGTAAGATTCAATTATGGTGATCCAACCTGTAAAATAAACAGTGGGGCTGATTAATCTCTTTGTTGGCTTTTGGGTCAGAGAATTGTTTAAAGTAGATCCACAGAGCCACCTAGAGCTGTCCCCCTGGAACTCAGCTGGCTGTGCTGTCAGCACCAGCTCCCCTTCTCTCCAGGGGTACAGGAGGCTTGTCCTGGGTCTGTGGTCACTGTAGCTTTCAGGGTGGTGGAGGGCAGGGCCCCCTTAAGGTTGGCTTTCGAGGTTGCTCGTGCAGTGTAGTGGGATGGCCGTGAGTACAACCACTGCCGGTTGTGACAGACACCATCCTTTGGCCGTTTCATTTCTCAGAGTGCTGCTGTGATAGCACTTGGAATTTACTGTGTCTTGTGGGATGCTTTGCATAAGCAGCATGTATTCCAGTGTGGCACATCACACCATCCTCTTCTTGAAGCTATACATGCGTGGGGTGCACAGCACACCACACGGTCAAGTTCAGCTTTCCAACCTCCTCCTGAAATGTAGGAAAGGAGCATATTTTTTTGGCCGGAGTGATGATTGAGGAGAAGAAACTTAAAGGGAGCCAGGCCCATGAAATAGATGTAGAAGAGCTTCAGAGAAGCCTCTCCTGTCCTTATGCAAAAAACTGAGGGCAAGACTCCTGACTTATTGTGTGGCATGTCGTGTCGCCTCCCCAGTGCTGGTACATACTTTGTAGGTTGGGAGGCTTAACATGCCAGTGACAGTTTCTCAGCCAGCCAAAGAGAGGATATCTTTTGGAAACAAAAACCATAAATTAGCACCATTCCTTTACCTTTGCCAAGCTGTATACATGCATCAAGGAGATGCATATAAATAGATCAAAAAGCCAGTGAGCAGTTTTGCAGCTTTGCAGCTTGCACTTGATGGAAGCAGATGGGGAGGTTCTCCTTGCTGCACTAGGCTCAGAGTGGCACGTGGAGCCAGCAGTGCTTGGGCTAAATCCAAATACAACCTTGTTCGATTTCTAGAGATGGACATGTGCAATCGACTGTCCAACAGGCATATTGTTTCTGTGGCCCAGGGTGGGCCTGTTTTTAGGTCTTCTTAAGTATAACATCGTAGAATCTCTGCATTCATTGCTTTCATGTTAGGCAAAATCAGGGCACAGAATTGAGGCATTTACCCAAATGTGCAGCCCCACCCTCCGGAGCCAGCTCACATTCGCTGGCAGGTATAAGCAGGTGAGCAGCCAGGAAGGAAAGACAACTGATAGTTTTAATTTTGGGAATAGCAATTATAAACAAGTATAAATAAAAATATTGTTTTGGTGAATACTGGGGAAAAATCACTTCTCTTATTCTCTTTTAAAATGTTCCTCTTTTTTTTTTTTTTTTTTGTCTAAATAGGCTTAATGCTTTCTAAGAGGTACCCTACCTATCCTTAATGGAGTGAACAGATAATATATATACATTTATATTTATTTGCCTTCTGATGCTTAGGATTTCATTGGGGAATACTTTTGTATTTAAAAATAACAGTGACAGGGAGGTGATTAAAAATAGCTCAAGGGCTTGTGGCACCCAAGGCTATCAGGGGAACTATTTTGTGTGACAAGTGACACATTTAAATCCCCCAAAAGGAAGCTGAGTGTTCTCCTGTTGAGGTCTGTCGCCTTGGTGCTGCTTTTTGCACCCGGTGAGCCCAACAGTGATGGTCACAGGTGTTCATTTCCGCTCTGTCACGTCCTGGTTGTTTGTTTTCTTCCTACCTCCCTCCACTGGCCCCTGACCCCATCAGTGTCACGCCTCACCGTCCCTGACAGGATGTCACAGTCACATGGGTAGGGACTCTGGGAGTCAAGACCTAGGCCACTCCTGAGTGGGACTGTCACGGCAGGCATTTGCCATGGGCAGTGTCCTTTCTGCCCCCTCCGTGGTTGGCCACCCGCTGTCCCTATCCAGTGGATAATGGAGCTGAGCGTGGTCTCTTACAAGCCTTTCAGATCCAATTCCACCTTTCACCACAGACTGTATGTGATTCCTGCCTTCCTGGACTAATTCTGAGCTCTTTTGTACTTTATTTGGGAACAGGAATAAGTGGGGACTTGACATTTTATTTAAACTTTTCCTTTTGTAGAGTTCGTAGGACAGTAGGATTATTCCCTAACATTTTCAATATCTCAGATGCTAGACCAAAATTGGGTCATATTATAAGTGAGAAAGTGACTTTCACAGTTTATCTGTTGGTGAGGTGGACATGGGCTTGGAGGGGAGAGGGTGGATGAGATGGTAGGCATTTCAGAAGGAAAAAACCAGGTCTATTCATTAACTAGGGCTGCTGTAACAAATTACCACAAACTGGGTGGCTTGAAACAAATTTTTTGTCTGACAGTCCTGCAGGCCAGAAGTCTGAAATCAGGGCATCAGCAGGGCCGTGCTCCCTCCTAGACCCTGCGTAGAACCCTTCCTTGCCTCTTCATGGCATGTGGGGGTGGCCAAGGGTCCTTGGATTCCTTGGCTCGCAGCTGCATCACTCCCATCTCTGCCTTTGCTGTCACATGGTGTTTCCCCCGCGTCTCTCTCTCTTCTTCTTCTAAGGACACCGGTCACATTGGATTAGGGCTCACCCTAATGACCTCATGTGACTAGCTTACATCTGCTAAGTCCTCGTTTCCAAATTAGGTCACATTCACAGGCACTAAGAGTTAGGACTTCAGTTTATCTTTTTGGGGAAAACAAATCAATTCATAACACCAGAGAAGAAAAGAGCAAAGGATCCTAAAACAGTCTGTGTGTACAAAGAAAACAAAGGCAAACTCTGTCTTCTTAAGTGTTTGGGTGAGGTAGGAGGATTGTTGGATATTCGTAAGAGAGTCGTTCATACCCAAAGATATCATTTCAATCTTCACAGAAATGCGGACAGTCCCTGTTTCCTTTCTGTAAGAAGGTAACCATGTTACTCTCTGGGGTGGTGGTGATTAGACTTGCAGGAATGAACCTAGTTGGATGATTCGTTAGCTTCAAACACATCATTTTCTCTTCCTGGGCCTAGCCGAATGCTGGGATTGGACTGATAGTCATGTCATTTGATTAAGGAGAATGCATGTAAAAAAAAATCCTAGACAGATATGTGGGTGAGGAATATGTGTTTGTGTATTTACTGTGTGTATGTACATAGGTACTCATCCATGTTCCCATCCCTCACACCCAGGATTCCTTAGCAGGAATCAGGGCTGGTAAAATCTGCAGCTGGCTCTGTCTCCTTCCTGAAGCCCTATCCGATTCAGTGAGACCAAAAGAGACTTTATCACTGTGCGCTGTGCCAGCCAGTCTCAGATTTGGCCAGGTATGTATTAAGTTAGCACCAGACATCTGCATTCTAATCTCATCCATCTCTGTGGTTTTTTTGGTGGGGGTAGGAGTGATATGGTTCCCAGAATTTCTCTGCACAGGCTCCTTTTTTTAAAAAAAAAAAAAAAAGAAAAAAAAAATGTCAGCTTGATCTCTGCCAAACTAATTAACTTCGACAACTTCCTTAAGTGCTGCGAGCAATATAGAGTTGAGTAAGGCATGTTCTTGGCCCTCATGGAGTTGATTTATCGTGGGGGGGGAGATGACATGTTTATAATTTTTTCATTAATGACTCATTCATTAGGACGTTTCAGGTCCTGGGCCAGGTGGCAGCCAAGCCCTCTGGAAGCCTCATGTCTGGTCTAGTTGTATTACAATAGACCAGACTAAAAATAGAAGCAAAGCATTGGGCCAGGGTGGGAGATGGGCCTGGGTAGACTGGTCGGAGATATAAAATAATTTTCTCAACCTTGGTTGGGGATAGATCCGAGGGTAGCAAGATGTCAAGTGGAACCGTTGGTGAGAGGCTGGCTGCGGAGAGTCATTGGAGGCAGCATGTGATTGGAAACCTGGGATGGAGAAGGGGAGGGCTGGAAACCCAGGGCCACAGCCGGGCTGGGGCATGTCAGGGCTGGCACTGTGGAGTGCCACTCCAGTTAGCAGCGCGGAGGCTGTCGGCATCTCTCTCGGCCAAGCTTGGATCCCTCTGCCCCTGCTCCCCTGCTTTGAAGTGGTGTGGTGAAATGTGGCTGGAAGTCAGTCTGCTAGCCTGTGGAGGGACCTTCATCCAGGGCATGCTCAGACTCAGCTAGAAGCAAGCACAGCTTCCTCGCATGCTGAGGCCAAGGGGCTGAAGGATGCAGAATGCTTCTTGTACTGGAATGCTGTGCTCACCAGTATGGGTGCCACATGGGAGGGGGGCAAATATAGGGTCCTGGGCCTGAGGACAAAATGACACCTCTGTATTAAACCTCTCTTTTGCATATGTACAAATTAGATTCTTGCAAGATGAGCTAACATTAGGAAAGGTCCTATTATATTTGACTTTTTTTTTTTTTTTAAATAAAACCACTTTTGCTTGGCCTCGGATGTATCAGTTCTGGATAACTTTAAAGCTGGTAACAGAACAAACTGTGTTCACACACAGGAAATGTCTCCAAACAAAAAGTGGGTGTGCAGTTTACAGTTTAAAAATTGGATGAAGGCCCTTCAAACTTCCCCTCCTGTTCTCCTTGGGAAGAGCTTGGCAGGCTGCTGAGAGAGGCCACTCCTCCCTGGAATAGGTAGTCACCGGGGCCTGGGAAGGAAGGTAGCCTGTGAGTGGAGCTGCCTGGTGACTGGGCGGAGGCCCCGGGTGTTCTGGGGGCTGGGAGGCCTGTGGAGGTTTCCTTTCAGCTTCAAGGACTGTGTGAAAGGTTGTGTGAGTCAGGTCAGGAAGCATTTCTGCGCTGTTGCTCCAAGCCTGTGGCCGGCCGATCCAAGCGCTGGCTGAGCTAGCTGGAAAGCTCTGTGAGCATCCTATGTCTGTGTCTTTATCTATTCATCGCCTGGCTCTAGTGCTAGCTTCAACTTCAAGTTCGTGCTTTTTTTTTAAATTTTTTTTTGAGGGGATGGAGTCTCGCTCTGTCGCCCAGGCTGGAGTGCATTGGTGGGATCTCGGCTCGCTGCAACCTCTGCCTCCTGGGTTCAAGTAGTTCTCCCGCCTCAGCCTCTCTAGTAGCTGGGATTACAGGAGTGCACTACCACGCCCAGCAGATTTTTGTATTTTTAGTAGAGTTGGGGTTTCGCCATGTTGGCCAGGCTAGTCTCGAACTCCTGACCTGAGGTGATCCACCTGGCTCGGCCTCACAAAGTGCTGGGATTACAGGCATGAACCACCACACCCAGCCGGCTTTTTTTTTTTTTTTTTTTTAATATAAAGACTTTACTGTTTTACTTATTACACAAGGAATATATGTGGTGTTGACAATTTGGAAAATACAAATAAACATAGATAACATAAAAAAAAATCCATAATTCAGAGAACCTGGAGATAAACTGTAAACATTTTGGCGTGAGTCCTTTAAGTCTCTCTCCGTCTACCTGCATTGATGCGTGACTTCCAGGCCCACACGGTGGTAAAGGATGTGGGCTTTGGGGTCTTTGAAGTCCATGTCTGGGGCTGGTTAGTCTTGTGTGGCTTTGGGCATTTAGCTTTCCCTCTCTAATTCTCAATTTCCTCATCTCTAAGATTGGGATGATATTTATACTTTCAATGATCTTGTGAATACCAAATGAGAGAATCCATCCAAAGTACTCAGCCCGTGCCTCTCTGCAGTATGTGCTACTGTCGTGATTTTTAAAAAGTAATAAAATTGGATCTCACTATAAATTCTGTTTAGGAACCTACTCTTTCCTCTAAATCATTCTCATGGCTTTTCTGTAACATCAGATGTTCTTCTCTGCTGTCATAGTTTCAAATGAAAAATGACCTTATTGTTTTTATAAAACAATACATATTCATCATGAAGAAAAGTTTATATAAAAATGTTTTTAAAAATTCAAAATCCCCCATTCAGAAATAATCATGACTGGTGGTGGGGTTTGAGAAGTGACCGTTAACCGCACCTTCCTCTCTGCCCTCACTCTAGCCCCTTCTAATTAAGAATCCACTGGGAGCCGGGCATGGTAGCTCGTGCCTGTAATCCCAGTACTTTGGAAGGCTGAAGTGGGAGGATCACTTGAGCTCAGGAGTTTGAGACCAGCCTGGGCAACATAGGGAGACCCTGTCTCTACAAAAAATTTAAAAATTAGCTGAGCATGGTGGCTTATGTCTGTAATCCCAGCACTTTGGGAGGCCGAGGTGGGTGGATCAGTTGATGTCAGGAGTTTGAGAACAGCCTGGCCAACATGGTGAAACCCTGTCTGTACTAAAAATAAAAAAATTAGCCAGGCATGGTGGCACATGCCTGTAATCCCAGCTACTCAGGAGGCTGAGGCAGGAAAATTGCTTGAACCCAGGAGGCAGAGGTTGCAATGAGCCAAGATGGCGCCACTGCACTCCAGTCTCTGTCTCAAAGGAAAAAAAAAAAAATTAAAAAATTAGCTGGGTGTGGTGCTGCATGCCACCACCCAGTCTCCCAGATATTTGGGAGACTGAGGTGGGAGGATCACTTGAGACCAGGAGATTGAGGCTGCAGTGAGCCGTAATAGTGCCACTGCACTCCAGCCTGAGTGACAGAGTGAGACACTATTTCAACAACAACAACAAAGAAAGGATCATTTGGGAAGTAGACACCCCAGCCAGCCACAGGGGTTTAAAACATCATCTTGGGGGTTGTGTGGAAAAAACTGCAGTTTGGATTGGAAAACTCTGTTTGTGTCCAGATTCAGGCTTCTTTTCACTACTTTGTTCTCAGAATAAAACTCTTCCAAGGCAGAACTGCAGGCTTTGTCCCTGCAGATGCTCACCTGCTCAGGTAAGCTTACCTCCTGGAGGAGCAGAGAATATGTGCATCCTGAGGGCTGTTCACAGAATTGGGGGAGAAGGGGGTCAGGGCAAGCTTGCCAGCTTCCTGCTTGCAATTCTGTGAATCGAGTAAGTTGCCAATCCTTCCCTTTGGGGAGGATTGAGTGGGGAAGTTAGAAGAGCAGATGCTTTTTCTCTGTTAATTTCCAGAAGGTGGACGTTCGTCTAGTCTATATCAAGGTATGAATTCTGGGGAAAGGGAAGAAGAATTTCTTGTTATTATTAGGAATATATCATTTTAGAGTTCTTTCTATTCTTATACATGGAAAAATGACTGGCTGAGTAGATATACTTATAAAATGTATGTTCTAAAAATAGCAGTAAGTTTAATTTCACTGAAACTTAACAGAAGACTTCAGTAAAACTGGAAAGAAGTAACTATCTTTTGCTACTAAATGTTGCTGTAGAAGTGTCCAAGGCCAGCCTTATTTTTCCTCCCTTAGAGATAATTTATTATTGCCTATAGGTTAGATATATGAGGAATCTTTTCTTAATATTTGACAGATAATTTAATTCTGATGTATATTACTGCTGTGTGATGTGTGTCATAGTTTTTGGAACTGGATGTGTATTTTCAATCAACAGATGCAATTCTTTATTAGTTTTGGGAGAATTTCTTTGTATTATCTCTTCAAACACTGGGTTCTATGCAGTGAATTCTCTGCTGTAAGGCACCAATTGTCTGTATGTTACATTGTCTTTGAACTCCATAGTTGTCTGTTTTGCTTCGATTACTTGAATCCCTTTTTTTTATCTGCATTCACCATGTTTATTTTTAGCTTTCCTCTAGTCAGAAAATTGATTTTAAACCATCTTTCTTTAGTCCTGTGTAGATTCTGTTTCATATCTTTATTTTCTAGGGTTGGCTTTAGTTTTCAACGTATTTCTTTAGATCTACAATCTTTTTTTTTTCCCTTTTTTAGATGTTGTCTTTGGGTTCTTGATGTATTGAACTCATATTCTTATTAAGTTCTATGGCTCAAAGATCTTTTGGGGGGTATCTTTCTCTGGCTGAGTTACGTTTTCTTTTATTTTGAGTTCTTTGTCTTTGACACCTACTGTTGCTTTCTTGCCTTTCCAGGAGTCTGTGTTTAAAGATAACCATGCCTTGTGGTTTTTCATTTTATTCTTGCTGAAGTAAATCAGGCTATATCTTTCTTTGATTTATTTATTTGAAGGCTATCTTTTTTCTTCTTGCTACCAAGCTGAAGTTTGAAGGCTGGTTTTTTGTTTCTGTTCATGCTTTCTGTAGCCTGAAGACTTATGAAATGTCTTGGGCCAGTTGAGCTGTAGCAGGTCGTATGCTGGGTGCTGAGTAGGCTTGGCTAGATGTGGTCTTGGCAGCTTTCACTTGTGGGATCTTTTGAAGGCCCTTTTAAGTGGGTTCGGTCTTCCTGTGTGGGGGGCACACACTGCACACCCTCTGGCAGTATTCTGTGGCCTCGGGTCAGCCTTGGGTTTCACGTTGGACTCCCAGAGTCTTCATTCCTTGCAGCAGAGATGATCAACACCACGGTTTATGCATCATCTCATCCTTTTCTCCCCAGCAGATGTTTTCTCTCTTCCCTAGTCAGAAGAAGAGAATATAGGGATAACTACTCAGGTGTTTTTTTCTAGATGTGGTGATATTGATGAAAACTCTCAGAATGTTTATTTATTCACTGTTTTGTCTTCCTGAGGGTGTTTGACTCAGGGCTCTGAGCCTTGCCACACTGGATTCTTTTTCCTTTATTTTATTTCCCAGGCACCTTTTGACTTTATGACACTGGGGTGTGCTCATTTTGTTTTTTTTTGGTTTTTTTTTTTTTTTTTTTTGGCTGATAAGTGTTTTATTTCAGGTTTAATTTTTTTTTAATTCAAATTTAGGAAGAGTGAGATTTTATACAGAGGTTTAATTCTACCATTTTAACTGGGAAATGTCTAGCAACATTTGAAAAGATTGTGTAATATTCCATTGTATTCCATTTCCCTATTTCTGTATGGTAGGTTGCTTATGGTTTTGTTTTGCTGATACAAATTCTGGTTGCTCATTTCTTTTCATTGTTTTGCTTTTCAGAATTACAAAATGGGATGATGAGTTCAAGGGATTGGTCACAAAAGATGTGGGGAGTCAAATCCTCTGTGGAAAGGGGAATTGCCTTCGTCGAGGATGTGGTGTGTGCCCGGGAGGACACAAGCAGTCTGATCGAACTCTCACACAAATCCCATGCAGTAGATGTCATTATTTCTCTTTTCCGTATAAGGAAATAGGGCTCACTTCTAGAAGTTAAAGAATGTGCTGGATGGGCACGGTGGCTCACGCCTGTAATCCCAGCACTTTGGGAAGCCAGTGCGGGCAGATCACGAGGTCAGGAGTTCGAGACCAGCCTGGCCAACGTGGTGAAACCCCTTCTCTACTAAAAATACAAAAAAATAGCCGGGCATGGTGGCAGTTGCCTGTAATCCCAGCTACTCGGCGGGCTGAGGTAGGAGAATCACTTGAACCCGGGAGGCGGATAGGTTGCAGTGAGCCGAGACCATGCCACCGCACTCCAGCCAGGGCAACAAAATGAGACTCCGTCTCAAAAAAAAAAAGAAAAGAAAAAAGAAGAAAGAAAGAACGTGCCCAAGCCCAAGTTGGCACAGCTAGTGTTTGATCTTGAGTCTCTTGGTTCCAGCTCTAAATTCCCTTCTCTTTGATCACACCACGCCTTGAAAAAATTCGCAGCTGAATGCTTCAGTGTCTTGAGTGTGTTGATATTATTTTAACATGTTACCACCTGTGAGAGAACACTGTTCTCACTCTCTCTTTTAAACTGAGGGAAAAGGTAATGAACATTGAACATGACTTTACTGGGACCAGAGAATAACTTCACCAGGGCCAGAGAATCTGTTCTCTGTTCCCTTCCTCCCCTTTAGGGCATGGTGGCGTCTGTAAGTGACAAGAGTGCTCTGAAAAAGACCTGTTATACATTCCAGGGCTGGTCACAGGGCCCCTGCTCCTGGCATGCAGCTACCTGCGTGCTCAGCACTCACCTGCGTTCCTGATTTGAACAGCCAGCCACTCAAACACATGGGCCATTATGTAATATTTCTGCCATAACAATTCCCACAAAATTACAGAGTGTTCTGTGTCAGTGTGAACAGACACTCTAATTAGTGTTTACTTGTTCAACAAGCGATCATTTTTCAAAATTTTAGTGCAAAATTACATTTACCTTATTCAAAAAGTATTCCACAGCGCTGAGTAACATGTTGATGTTTGCCAAAAGATGCTGATGGGAGAGCCATCTATTTACTGTGGGTGTCAGTTTTCTCCTCGAAAACAAAAGTGAGTACCATGCCATCTTACATGTGTGGAGTGTTCAGCCAGTTTCAGTGTTGTGGGATTATGTCATTTCAGACTGACAGCAACCCTGGGACATCTGTGGGGCAATTTTGCCCCACTTTTGTTTTTAATTCTATTATGACGAAACAAAAAAGTAGAAATTATAGTACAGTGGACACCCATGTACTCACCACCTAGGACTGACTAGTTGTTAAGATTTGACACATTTGCTTCATATATACAGCTACATTCATACACACACACACACACACACACACACACACACACATACATACATACATACTTTATTTCAGGACCATTTTAAAGTAAATTATAGAAATGATGACACTTCACACCTAAATACTTCAGTATACCTCTTCATAAACTATGGTCATTTCCCTATAAAACTGCAACCCTACTATCACTCCTAACAAAATTAAGTAGTCCCTAATTTCAATTAATACTTCCTACATATCAGATTTCTCCAAAATGTTCCCAAAATATCTCTATCGCAATTGCCATTTCTAGCTCTATACCTAGCTTTCTCTGGAACTATTTATTTGTTTATAAACAGCCACAAACCAATTCAAGATCATACATTTCATTTGTTCTATGATTTTGTGTCATTTCCTTTGTTTTTTTTCTTTATTGTGGAAAATTACACATAAAATTTACCATCTTAATCATTTTGAAGTGTACAGTGAACTCAGTGGTGTAGTAGTCCCCCTTGCTCTTGGGGGATATGTTCCAAGACCCCTGATATGGATGCCTGGAACCTTGGATAGTACTAAATGCTATATATGATATGGTTTTTCCTATATGTATATACCTATGATAAAGTTTAATTTATAAATTAGGCACAGTAAGATTAACAACAATAATAATTCAACATAATTATAACAATATGCTGTAATAAAAGTTATGTGAATGTGGTCTCTCTCAATACATCTTACTGTTGCTCACTATTTTCTGACTGTAGTTGACCTCAGGTAACTGAAAACTTGGAAGTGAAACTCTGGATAAGCGGGGACTCCTACATTAAGTATATTCACAACGTTGTGCAACTATCACCACCATCTACCTCTGGAACTCTTCTTCCCAGAGGGAAACTCCATACCCATTAAAGATCACTGCCCACTCCCCTTCCCCCAGCCCTGGCCACCACTGTTCACTTCCTATCTCTATGATTCTGACTACCCTAGGGCCTCATATACAGTGTTTGTCCTTTTGCAACGGGCTTGTTTCAGTCAGCATAATGTCCTCACAGGTCATCCAAGTTGGGGGCTGGGTCAGAATTTCCTTCCTTTTTAGGCTGAATTTTCCATAGTATGTATAGACCACGTTTTGCTTATCCAGTCGTCTGTCGATGGACACTTCCGTTGCTTCCACATGTTGGCTATTGTGAATAATGCCGCTCCGATCATCGCTGTAGAGCTTTCATCTGGAATAATTTCCCCACTTTTTCCCCACTAGGTTAACTTTTTGAAGGGGTTGGGTCAGTTGTCATTCCACAGAACATCTTCTGTAATGTTTCGTATTCTGAATGTATCTGATTATTTCCTCGTGGTTTCATTTAACTTGTCTCTTTTCTCTGTATTTCCTGTGCAATGGAAGTTAGCTTTTGCTTGACTAGATTTAAGTTTTGCTTGATTAGAGGAGATAATTGGTGAGGAATTCTTTCAAGTACATTGTATTAAAACACCTGGTTGACCCCTGCTCATGGTGCTAAGGCTGACCATGAGGTTGAGATGGGTGGTTACATCCACACCACTCCACATGAAACAGACATTTGCCGCCTTGAAGTTGGCAGACAGTCTGTGTTGGTGCCCTTTTAATAGATGAGTCAGTTGCTGAAATTCTGAGTAGGCTCTGACTTGGTTACCAGTGATCTCTACCATTTACTGAGCATCCGCTGTGTGTACCTGACACATGTCATCTCATTTAGTCCTTTAGGGGCGGCAGTGTTGTCCCACATTGTAGCTCATTGTAGGAGATCCTAGTTGCACTTCTGTTATGAAGCCACTCCTGCCTCCCTTTCCTCTGACCCTCCCCTCCCACTGTGGATCATGGTCTCCTCCCCCAGCTCCATGGCATGATGTTGGCACTGCCTTTCCAGTTTACTCTCTCCACAGGGTAAAAACTGGACTCTGGAGCAAGAGACTGCCTGGATTCCAATCCCAGCTCTGCCCGTCACATGTGACGTAAACCTAGGTTGGTTCCTCCCCCGTCAGTTGGAGATGATTAAAGTACCTGCCACAGAGGGCTCTCCTGAGCGTGAAAGGAGTTACTGCCTGGGAAGCACTTGTGTGTGATAAGTCTTAGCCTCATTCTCTGTCATTCCTTCCATCGGTCCCTGGAGACAGTTGCTCAGTCCGTGTTTTGCTTTGAAGGTTTTGCCGTAACTCACAATAGAGAAACACAGGATGACTGAAAATCAGGTAATAAACATGAAGCAGTGACAGTGATTCTAGAGCAGGGGTTGGCAAACTATAGCCCATGGGCCAAACCTGGCCTGCTCTCTACTTTTGTAAGTCAACTTTTATTGGAACACAGCCATGCTGATTTATGTATATATTATCATCATCATGTGACAGAAACCATATTGCCTGCAAGTAATATGGCCTGCAAAGCCTAAAATAGCTGCTATCTGGCCTTTACAGAAAAGGTTTGCTACCCCTGCTCTAGAATCTTAAAGAATTCTTAGAGTTGTGGTCTCAGATCTCTAGATCCCAGAGATGCCACCTCAGCTGAGCGTGGTGGCTCACACCTGTAATCCCAGAACCTTGGGAGGACAAGGTGGACAGATAGTTTGAACCCAGGACTTCTAGACTAGCCTGGGCAACATGGTGAAACCCCTTCTCTATTTCTATAAATTAATTTTTAAAAGCCACCTCCTGCTAAATTCTTGTCTTCAGCTTTCACTCCCAGGAGTGGCATTGCCCAACCTTCCCAGTTGGGAAAGTTCATTTAGTCTGCCTCTAAAGGACCAAATGAGATAAAGTGTGTCAGGTACACATAGCGGATGCTCAATAAACGCTAGTGACTGTGATCACTGGTAACCAAGTTACAGCCTAGTCAGGATTTTGGCAAGTGCCTCATCTGTTAAAAGGGCACCAACGCAGACTGCCAACTTCAAGGGAGCAAATGTCTGTTTCACATGGAGCGGTCTGGATGTTACCACCCATCTCAATCCCGTGGTCAGCCTTAGCACCATGAGCAGGGGTCAAGCAGGTGTTTTAATATAAAGTACTTGAAAGAATTCCTTACAGGTATCTCCTATAATTAAGCACAAATTAAATCTAGTCAAGCTACCTAGAGCTGGAGGCTGACTTCTTTATCTGAGCAGGCCCCTCCTGCAGATCTGAGGCTGGCAAGCATGGGCTCTGGATAAGTGGTAGGTTCCGGAGGCCTCTCAACTGGAACTGTTCTCTTTACTGTGAGTCTTTTCTCCCAGCCAGTCCACTGAGTAGGCCTGCTTTTGTTTTGCACAGCACCTCACAGGTGACCCAGCAGGGAGCCCTGGTGCGCTCTTCTCTGCTGTCCAGCATGGATGTGGCCTATGGTAGAGGGACTGCCCTGTGGGATCACAGGCCTTTTCTGTATTCACATTGCCTGCCCACACACACTAACCATCACAGCTCATTACAGATATTTGACTTTTGCCGATATGTTTGGGGTTCTGCTGTTTGACCCAAATGGATCTGATTCAAATCCATTGAATGAGAAACCTCAATACCATAAGTTTCTTCTGCATTTTCACAGAAACAGAACACTTTCCTGAAGTCATTCTCTATTATGTGCAACTTATGTGACTTGATTTATTTCTTGATCTTTAAGATAGTTTTTATTGATCTGAGGCATTAAATTGAATTCTGATGTGAAAGAATCTTTTCCCTTATATTTTATGTTGTCTCCTAACCACTTAAGTAGCTGTTTAATCTTTTAATTAAGTTGGTGTGAACCTTCTTCAAACGATGATGGCTGTTCTCCTTGTATATATTTTAAAATTTTGATATCAGACCTCCCTCTCTAATCTCTCTTAACCTTAAAAATTTTAAGATGTTCGTGTTCTTTGAAGCTACTTTATTAATTCAAGACCTATTTATTGAGCTTCTGTGACTTGTCAGGCACTCTTCTAGATACTGGGGACCCAGCATATCAAAACACAAGAAATCGCTATAAAGACGCTTACGTTGTGGTACTTTTGCTCATGACATCACTGCAAGGTTTGATATTCTTCAGAGAGTGGTATGGTGGCCGAATGTAGAAGTCCATTCAAGTCACAGAGGAGAAAATTGAAGTGGATCTGCAGAAACAGAGGCTCCACAGCAGTGAAGAGGAAGGGAGGAAATTTTAGGGAAGGCCTTTGGGAAGGGGAAGGAGGTAACTAACTCCCTTGGCTGGAAGGTCCAGTCAGGTAAGGGAAGGTTTTGAAGGCTAGGCTCAATCTAGTGGGCATAAAGGAGTTACAGGTTTTTGCAAAAAGGGGTGTGGTCTATAGAAGGAGGCGTTTTAGGAAGCTAGTAGCTCAATGAACCTACAAAAAAATCTGAGACCTGTAGTCTGATCTAAGCCTGCAGCCAAAAGTTAGGGAGTCAGGTGTTTGGATGGAGCCACCCTTCCAGCTCTCCATTTACCAGGTGATGGGGCCACACAGGGAGCATCCTGTGGAAGGACTAGAATCTCAGGGCTTTCCTTAGGTGAGGCTGCACCGGAACAGAGAGAACTGTGCTGACAACATGAGGCAAGATCTGGTATCCCAGAAATGAAACCATCATCAGGTGGCATCTGAAGTAGGGATTTAGGCCTTTTTTTTTTTTTTTTTTTTTGAGACGGAGTTTTGCTCTTGTCTCCTAGCCTGGAGTGCAGTGGTGCTCAACTCACTGCAACCTCTGCCTCCCGGGTTCAGGTGCTTCTCCTGCCTCAGCCTCCCGGATAGCTGGGATTACAGGCACGTGCCACCACACCTGGATAATTTTTGTATTTTAGTAGGGACGAAGTTCACCCTGTTGGCCAGGCTGGTCTCAGGTGACCTCAGGTGACCCGCCCACCTCGGCTTCCCAAAGTGCTGGGATTACAGGCGTGAGCCACTGCGCCAGGGCGATTTAGGCCTTTTCAGTGGGCTCCAGGATTGCAGATGTGTTCACTGTCCTTGGTAGTAGCCAAATGCCATCAGAAGAAATTAGCTCATGGACTGTTTGCAGGGCATGGTGTCATCTCATGGTCTTCTAAATATTGGCCCCTACAGCTCAGAGACTAGATGATGGGACACTTGAAGCTTCCGCTCGGTATGCAGACAGTGTTAAGAATGGCATCGTGACAGGGACAGATCAGCATTCCTACCACACTCTGTTATGTTTTAAAATCAGATTCTCATTTTATGTCAAACCATCCAGAACTGTCATCTCTTAGCCGTCTTTCTCACAACTCAAAGCGTAGATTTTCATGCCCAGAAAAATTTTCATTCACAGACATCTAAACAATGAAATACTTATAGTAACTGAAAAAGTACCCATGCTTCATCAAAAGGACCTTATGCTTAAAGAGAGAAATGTTGCATTTCTTGGAGATTTTATAATTTTTTTCTTACACTTAGGAAATAAGAATTTGGGCTTTTTTTCCTCCTTACCAGTTTTATCCATTTCTCTCTTGTGAATAGTTGCAGTCATTCTTCCTGGCATTGAAGTATTTCTGAAATAGCTCTTCTTATCTAGGCATAATTACAACATATCTATGAAGTACGTGACTCTATTTTGAAAATCAGCCTGTGATCTGCACACTTGCTTCTGAACACACACTTCTACCCACATGCAAATTCTGAAGGGTAAGCACGCTGAATTCGGCAGCCACTTTTCCAAAGGCAATAGAGTAATCGGATAGGCCATGGTTATATAGAATATCTGTTGGCATAAGGGTTCTACTAAAATATTTATTGCTTGACCCTGAGTGGGTGCCTATAAAGCAGGTACGTTTTGCACACCACTTACACTGTGATATGCTTGGTATCTGTCACTTATTTTTTCTGCCTTTTTTTTTTTTAAAGCCACCATCTGCATTTTCTACTTTGAAGCACATTAGTTACTATGGAAACAGTGATGTCATTGGTGGGGGTGAGGGTTAGTAACATCTACAAGGACAGTATAAAATCATTTTATTTAATGGGTTGAAATTTATATGACACTTGGGAGAAATGATGAGTATGCTTAAGAGAATGGTGTGGGTATACAACCGTAGCTACTATGATGCCTATACATGTAACAAATCAGCATTTGTATGGTTTTTAGGTTGCAACAAAAATATGGCTGAAAACTAAGAAAAATACGAAGAAGAGAAAATGGAAGGTCAGGGCATTCTTATAATTGTTCTAGCCGCTCAGAACATCATTTTCTGAAGGTGGCCTTCTGGTTAATACAAATATATAGATGTCCCTATATAGATGTAATTTATATCAGCTAATGGTCCAGTTTTCTTCTATAGAGATACTGTCATGGGACAGGTTTTTGGCTTTCTGAATGAAATTTGTGTTCCAGGCAGTAGTGGTTCAATTCTGACATGCAACCAAGCTCTTAACGAGATTCCTGAAGAGGATCCCATGGTCTCCGAAGCTCCAGACAGAGATTTTATGTAAGGACAGTTGTGTGTCGCAGCAGAGATGGCACAGTGAGTCCCAGGAAGGGCCCTTGGATCTCTTTAATAAGATATTCAGGGCTCTGTGCAGAATGTCTGAATGAAGCTGGCTGTGTTCCTCTTTCATTTAGTCTCCTTGGAAAGAAAAAGTGCTCCAGATAGATAGATATGCTCCTCAACCTGCTTGTATGTGTGTCCGTCCGTCCGTCCGTCCGTCCGTCCGTCCGTCCATCCATCCATCCATCCATCCATCCATCCATCCATCCATCTATCTATCTATCTATCTATCTATCATCCTGAGATGATGGTAGATTCACATGCAATTGTAAGAAATAATCCAGAGTGATCCTGTACACACTCTACCCAGTCTCCCCCAATAGTAACATATTGCAAAACTGTAGTATAACACCACAATTAGGAAATTGACAGTGATAGGGTCCACCAACAGATTTCCTCAGTTTTACCGGCACTCGTGCTTCTCTCTCTCTCTCTCTCTCTCTCTCTCTGTGTGTGTGTGTGTGTAGTTCTTTGCAGTTTCATCACTTGTGTGGATTAATGTGACCACCACCACAATCAGGATATAGAATCTGCTGTACATTTATTGCCACAGTCTCTCCTGCTCCCTAACCCCAGGGCAGCACTATTCTGTTCTCCATCTCTCTAATGTTGTCATTTTACGAATGTTACTTAAATGGCATCATACAGCATGCAACCTTTTGAGATTGTTTTTTTTTTTCCACTAAGCACAAATCCCTTGAGATCCATCCAAGTTGTTGCATATATCAATAATTCATTTCTTTTTATTGCAGAGTGATATTGCCTAGTGTGGAGGTACTCCTGTTAGTTAACCGTTCACCTCTTGATGGCATTTGGGTTGTGCTTATCTATTTAAACAGAAGTATCTGGGAGAGGGCTTTTGGGGTCCTAAAAGCACAGAATCAGGAAGCAGTGTAAAGTGCCCCAGTCTCTGTCTATGGTTCTCTTCTTGGTTTTCAGCAGGGATCCTTCCAGAAGCAGTAAGGCCCAATTTATTTAGAGTGATGGAATTTGGTGGAGAGAGCAGAATGAGCCCAGAGAGCTGGCTAGCCAGGCGATATGTCTCCTTTCAAAATGGGGCTCAGGATGGGGCTTGGGTGGAGGCTCTGTGTGCCCTGAGACCTGCATTCATGTATCTGCATTTCTCTTACAAGAATTGATGGGAGAAGGTACCTTTTCTGCAGAGCCTGTGATCAAAGGAGATGTAATACAAGCAGCTTGGCCAGCTTGGTCCCTCCAACCCTTTTGGGGAAGATCAAAACCTGAACCCTTATTCTAGGACAGGAAGCAGAGGGAATTTTTTCCTTGGTCTTACTGATTGATTTTCATTTCGAAAAGTGTTCCCCCACCTTTTTTTTTTTTAAATGCTCGGGGATTTTCTAACTGGTCATGTGACAGAATTTAAACACCAAAACTGTTCTCTGAATACCAGCCACAGGTCTGTATTCCTGGTTTGAGGTTGATCAGGAAGTGGCCTGAGCTGAAAGACCCAGTGATTTGACATTGCTCTTTCCTTGCATAAAATGCACGATAAAGAAAAATGTTTTTTTCTTTATCGTGCAGTTTATGGAACCAGCAGACTAACCCGCCCCCTTCCCTTGTCTTCTGCTATTTAATATTTAAGCTGTTGACCTAAAGAAAGAAAGAAAGGGTTTTTAGCCTTGAGATGAAGTTAAAAGCCACTCAGAGAAACCGTTGGATCAGAAGCTTTTAATACCAACAGCTGTCAGTCAGCGAGCCAGTCAGCACATGGTCTTTCTGTCGGAGCTCAGTGGAGAATGCAAGTCCCCTGTGGTAAATAAGCAACATGCCGAGTCTACCAGGAAGGGAAACACGAACACATACTCCCCTGGCCCAGACTTTAGGAGATGGTTTTCTTAGCGCAAGCAGCATGACTTCTTTGCCTGGCAAACTCCTGGTCATCTTTTACCACTGGAATGTCATGCTTGAGTGAGGTAACCCTGCTCCATCCCTGGCCAGGTCTGGGTCCCCTCTCTTCGGGTCTCTTTTACAATTGACCCTATTATCATGCAAAACCCTTAAGATCAGTGCCTTCAAGTACAAATGCTTTTCATTGGAGAGTTTGGTTCTAAAGCAGCCACTGAGACCAATGTTATATGGAGGTGGAATATTACTCAAGGACATCCCCTTAGTTGCCTAGAAGGGAAGCAGTGCATTCCAGGATCAGGCAGTATAAACAGTGCTTACCTCTGAACACTAGGATCACGCTTAGCATGGTAATAGTGAGATCTATGCACAGGAGGGGGCATGTGAGGACTGAAACTCAGTGTGAGGATGGGAAGTTTATGTCTCCCTTCTCAAGCACGCAGTCAGGATGTGCATTTGCTGAGTGGAATTGTGGACAAACCATTCACACTCCTTAAATGGTATATATTGAACCCATGCATTTGCTTCTCTTTGTGTTCATAGCTCCCAGTTTAAGGTTGGACACTTGGTAGCCTTTGGTAAATATTTACTAAATGAATCAATGAATGATCAAACAGAGGGACATGAAATTTGCTAATACGGTATAGATTTGGGGGCCTCCACCCCCACCCCACCCCCACTATGTATGACTTCTTTTTTTTCCTTGAGATGGAGTTTCACTCTGTCGCCCAGGCCCGAGTGCAGTGGCATGATCTCAGCTCACTGCAACCTCCGCCTCCCGGGTTCAAGCGATTCTCTTGCTTCAGCCTCCCGAGTAGCTGGGACCACAGGCGTATGCACCACCACCACGTCCAGCTAACTTTTTTGTATTTTTAGTAGAGACAGGGTTTCACCATGTTGGCCAGGCTGGTCTCGAACTCCTGACCTCAGGTCATCTGCCCATCTCGGCCTTCCAAAGTGCTGAGATTACAGGTGTGAGCTACCGCGCCCAGCCATGACTTCTTAATCCCACTCGGATTTCACTGAATATGTGCGATAAGTATAACCTCATCAAGATTTCCTTGCAATTAGGTATCACCTTGGTGTCCCAAAGAGATGTAATATCACCTTGTTCTTTAAGAAGTTGGTTGGGCTGCTCTATTAATGCCCAGTGAGTAAGGGAATGACAGATGGGACAGCAGCCACCATGCAAGCCAGGCAGGCGCCATCCACTGTAAACAGAGAGGAGAATGGTGAGGACTTGGGAAGGAGCCATGTGCTCCAGCCATTCAGATTCCAGTCCTCTCTGTCAGCTCCTCTTAATCTCCATGTTACTCAGATGCTTTGAGGCTGGTGGATAACAAAGTATCCCTCCTTCCCCTTTTTTAACAGCGGGCAGTAAGTGGTCTGGGTTTCACTTACATCAGGTGCCCAGGAGTCTTCCTGTGTGAAGTCAGCTTGTTTGGAGAGTGAAGAGAGAAACTTGGCACCGGGACCCTAGAATCCCCTCTTTCTGGTTTGCTTTTTCACTCCATCAGCTGAGGTACCACAGGGGATGCCAGAGACCTGAGGCTTCTTGGTAGAAGCAGTGCCAGTTTGGGATCAGAACGTCCAATCGCTGACTGGTTCTCTTGCTCTGAGGCTGGGGCTCCCCGGAGGGATGTACCTCGCACTGACTGGCTGGGGCCCTTCATCCTTTGCATTTTCTTGCATGCAGTAGTCTTCCATAGGGAGTTCTACCTCTCAGGTATTTGTAATTATTTTATGCCATTATATACCCTGAAAGTGGCTGTGGGTTATAAATTCCAAGTTGTGATTTATAAGCCTTAATAGTTACTAAGGCAATGCATTGATACATTGTTCATACGCTCATAATTAGTTCATGTGTTTTGCTGGGTTGTGCATAGAAATTTCGGTTCCAAGTATTTTTTGAAGTAGAAGTGTGTTTGTAATATCCTACTTACCGATAGTAGTGTAGCATCCTGATAGTACATCACAGTTGCTACACTCACTTCTGTGGGTCCACACCCCGTGCCAGGCACCGTGTTACATGCATTTCTTCTGCTGTCCTTTTCATCCTCACACTGAGATGCTTGCAGAAACATCTCACAAAGCAGGCAACTGAAGGGATCCAGTTTCAGACCAAGGTCTGGCCTGACTGGAAAGCTTTATCACCATAGCATCATACATACAGTCACATTAATGATCAAAATAATGATAATAAGAATCGTGATCGTATCTAACACTGTTATAAGGTTTTCCTATGGATTAACCTTTTGGATCTTTGCAAAACCTTGTGAGATAGGTACACGTATTATCTTCATTTTGTAATGAGGATTCCGAGGTCCTGAGAGTTAGAGAAATTTTCTCCCTGTCACATAGCTTGAAAGTGGCAACACTGGACATCAAAAATGGGCATTCTGCTGGGTGCAATGGCTTACGCCTGTAATCCAGCATTTTGGGAGGCTGAGGTGGGTGGATCACCTGAGATTGGGAGTTCAAGACCAGACTGGCCAACATGGGGAAACACCGTCTCTACTTAAAAAAATACAAAAATTAGCCAGATGTGGTGGGCAGGCCTGTGTTCCCAGCTACTTGGGAGGCTGAAGCAGGAGAATCGCTTGAACCTGGGAGGTGGAAGGTTGCAGTGAGCCGAGATCGCGTCACTGCGCTCCACCCTGGGCAACAGAGTGAGATTCTGTCTCAAAAAAAAAAAAAAAAAAAGGTGGAGGGGAGCATTCTGACTTCAGAGCCTTTTTCTAATATTAAATTGTTTTAAAATAAAACTTATTGATTTATTCAGCACAGATTATGTGAATCACTACAATCAAATTATTATGAAATGTCTATTTTCTAGTATTAAATGAGGCTTAAGTGATTTTTCACAATCTGCATTTTCTGGAAAGCTTTGATAATTATATTTCAGTTCTAATGGTGACATTTCTTTTTTTTTACATCATTGGAATTATTTGTTTGGATTACGCATTTTTTTGTATGCTTACTCTATGCCAGGCCCCATGCTGCATATTTTCATATATTATCTCATTTCATCTTTTTTTTTAAGCTGATTCTTTTAGACCTGAGGCAGCTGAGCATCACGGAAACTAGTCAGTGTCTATCCTAAAAACAGCTGGACCCCTGCTGGCGAGCTCACCTGTATTCTAGGAGCATGGGGTCTGATTCCCTTCCTCAGTGAATCAGGAAAGCTTTCTGGGGAAAGGAGTTGTGTGGGTTCTCCAATTCTTGTTCCTTTAGAAGTAAAAAGCCTTTCCGTCCCATATAGGGACACAGAAAGGAGGTGATGGGGGTGGTGCTGAGCCTGCCCGCCTGCTCTGCGTCACCTGGAAGGAGGGTGCAGAAGGAGCAGGGGGCTTGTCTCCCTCTTTGCTCCCTTTGGCGTCACTCTCCACGCCCAGTAACGAAGCCCCACCCCTGGCTGGGCCTTTTCTCACCATCTTCCTTCTCCAGGGCTACCTCCTGAGGGCTCACTCCTTAAAGGCAGGATGCAGTGGCTTCTCCTTGAGTGAGCTCAGAGGTCAGGAGCTTCCTAAGCTCCTGTATCAAGAGACAGAGGACATCTGAAGCCAGAATGCCCTTCCCAAAGCTGCCCTAGCTCCTGTGTTTCAGGAAGAAGCCGGGCAGATGCCTCTTTGTTCCAGCAGCCAAACTCCAGCATGTCACAAATCATACATTACAGGAAAAGGGAGCCCTTTGCTGCTGGGCAGCGGGGCCCAAGATCCTCACAGTCTTTTAGGGATGCTTAGAATTGGCCCTTGGTTGGTTTGTAGCATTTATACAATATCAACCCTTAAACTGATGGCCCTTGAACAAGTGCATCATTCTCTGTCCTTGATTTCATTCACAGTAGACAGTTTTAGGTAGATCCCTGCTGTGAGCAGACACATACATGCGGTCTGACAATTCAGATCCCTTCGCCTTCCCCTCCCCTATTTTTATGGCTGCTAACAAATCGGCTGGACCTTTCTCTAAAGGCCTCTCTGGGCGGGTGATATTTGAGTAGATTTGAAAGAAGTGTGAGATCAAATTATATAACTATTTGGAGCAAGAATGTTTCAGGCAGAGGGACTAGGAAGTGCAAAGGCCCTGGGGTTGAAATATGCTTGATGTGGTCGGGGAGTGGAAAGACCAGTGTGTCTCTAGCAGAGAGGGTGAGAGGGAGGCAGGGGAAGATGAAAGCAGAGAGGTGGGTGGAAGACCAGACCCGGCAGGCCCCTGTGAGCCACAGGGAGGCAGAGTTGGTCCCTTTTAAATATTGGGGCTGGCAAATCTGACTAGTCCATTTCCCTAGTACTCCTGCTTACCTCTGCATTTTTGCCTTTGATTGTTCCCTTTCTTGAGTGTGTCCTGCGCTTCCCCTTGGTCTCCCTTAGTTGTGCAATGGAAAGTAGTAGCAGAGCACAAAAATCCACATTGGAAGCTTAGAGGATTGTATCTTTTTCTCACCAGCTAACTCTTACTAATTAGAAATTGACAACAGCGCTTGTCTCTCATGCTTCTCTTTTAATTGAGATTTCCTTCAAGTCCTCCTTTTAGGCAAGAGCTGCCTCCTATGAGCCCCTGGCCCGCTGCACCTACCTTGGGTCTGGGTGGCTCCTGTTTGTGTCCACATCAGCGTGAGTTGTGTGAAGTCCTCAGCAGTGCTCCATGCCTAGAAGGCCCCAGTGAGCATTGACTTGGACCTGGTGATTTTCCTCTTTACGCTTTGCCCTTCCAAAGAGAGATGGAAGATTCAGCCTCAGCGTCAGTGTTGTTTCTACGGTGTGACCATATTTGATGTGCTTACTGATTCCTAAGTCACCTACTGGCACACAGCACAGATGCATCCAATGTCCTTATCTCTCAGGCTTTGCTTTCAAGACTTCACACTGACTACATCAATCTGAATAATCGAGCTCAACTCCAGACAATAATTCAGGGGTACGATGTGATGGCCCTCTGTTGATTCTCTTTAAAAGTTGTGAATGTGAGTAATCATGGGTATTTAATGAGCTCTGCAAGATGGCAGGTGCTGACAAGTGCCTTATATATTCTGTTTCTAGTCTTGCAATTTGTATATTATCATTCAGAACCCCAGGCTCAGGAGGTTAAAAATTCTGCTTACAGCTGAAGTTGCAGTTGCGTGGGAGAGGGAGCAGGAGTTTATTCTCCCCTCTTTGTTTCTGCCTGTGTCTGTATATTGGCCAAGCCCATTTCCAGTGGGAAATCCTTAGTGGCTTTTATGGTGTTTTGTGGGAGGGCACAGGGGACTGACGTGTGAATGCCAGGTGTCATTATCACTGTCAAGTGTCTAATTCAGTGCTGGGTCATAGACAGGTTTAGAAGTGCCTTAGAATTCAGAGTTAATCCAGAGTGGGCCACAGGTTGATGGCATTTTGCTTTATTCTTCAATGCTTTCCTTTTCTCTTTAGAATATTGTCATCCCTTTTACCCCTTCCCCCTTCCTCGGCCATTTTCCCCAGAGGGCAGAATGGCTTGAGCTATTTCCTGCCTGAGTTTTGATGTCGAGACCCCTGCCTGCCCAATTCCTGCAACAATGACCCTAAAGCACTAATTTCAGGCCCCTCTTTGCTTGCCTGCCTGCCTGCATGAGACATTGCGGCCGCTAACCCTGCACCCTTGAGGCACCCCCTCCATTCAGTGACATGGTACTGCCTGTGTGCACAGGAGCCCTGCAGCAGCTGACCCAAACAATGCTCATTTTCATTGTGGCATCTTGGCATGGCCTGGCAGCTTTGGCCTTTTAGAACCCAGCTGGTGCCAGGGTTGCTGGCCTGCCCCGCAGAGGTGATTGGCCACTTCGTAGTAATAAACAGATTTCAATCCTGGGAACTTCTGAGGCCTGCTGTTCTCTCCCTGTCTTTTATGTGTCTTTTTGATGAAAGATATTCGAGGTAGCCACATGGTTTAATAAAACCAGGCTGGATGCAACTACCTAGGTTTAAAATATCATTCTGCTAGGCTAGCTGTGTGCCCTTGGACAAATTACTTAACCTCTCTGAACCTCTCCTTCTGTTTCTCCAAATTGAACTTAGTAATACCTACACTACAGTTTGTGCCAGGATTTAATAAGATAGTGTTTGTGAAAAGCACCTTGTTCAGATCTTACACACTGTATGTGCTGAGTACATAATTAGTTTTCTCAGGCAGAGTCCCAAACAGAAGGAGAAGCCAAATAAACCCCATGATGTGCTGCTTTGTTCTGTGTAGTCATCTGTGTTTGGCAGATTTGAGATTATTTTAAACCAAAGTAAAAGAGCTTTAATTATGCTCTTGTTTGTGGTTTGGTTGGTTGCATTATTAACCGATTTTGGAATACTCCCCGCCCTCTCACTGTTGCAAAGTGAAGGGCTGGCTGGGAGTCAGGAGCTGGAAGTCAATACTTTCTTTGCAGAACTTCCAACTCCCTCTGTCTCAGAGATGGGGTTGGCAGTGTCATCTGAATGGGGTGTGGGTTCAGAGACTGGCCCGTCGAATCAGTATGGGCTGCCGGCTCTCTTATTACATCCTGAGCATGTGTGTCTTGGGCCCTTACAGATATACTTGCTGTTGCCCTTTGCTCTTCATTCACTTAATTTCAGTCATGCAATCCAGTTATACAAATGACATATGCATAACTATTTGATTTTAACAAGCAGTTAGCTAAAGTGTTTAGTGTGACTCTAGAATTAAACTCCTTGGATTCCAGTCCCTTATACCAGGTTCAGAATAGTCCTAGGCATATGAAATCTCAATTTTTTTTCCTACAAAGTGGCTTAGTGATAGCACTTATCTTGTAGGAGATTAGCAGGATTAACCTGTAAAAGTGCTTAACATACTACCTGCTATGTAATAAATGTTTAATTAAAATTACTTGTATTAATGTTAGCAGTAGCTGGCTGGGTACAGTGGCTCATACCTGTAATCTTAGTGCTTTGGAAGACAGAGATGGAAAGATCATTTGAGGCCAGTAGTTAGATACCAGCTTGGGCAACATAGTGAGACCCCATCTCTACAAAAAAACAAAACAAAACAAAACAAAAAAAACAACACCAATTAGCTGGGCAATGTGGCACACACCTGTAGCTCTAGCTGCTCAGGAGGCTGGGGTGGGCGGATCGCTTGAGCCCAGGAGCATAAGGTTTCGGGGAGCTGTGATCATGCTATTGCAGTCCAGCCTGGGTAACAAGAGTGAGACTGTCTCTAAAAAAAAAAAAGAAAAGAAAAACCAAAAAAAAAAAACCTACAATTATTACTAGCTAACATATAGCTAACATTTGTGTACTTGTTATTACAGAATAAATATATTCCAGCTAAGTGGACGTGGATGGTTTTCTGCATAAACTCTTATTGTTCCTTGACTGATGTCATAACACTGGAGATGCATGCTCCTTAGATGAATGTAAGTTCTAAAATTGTTGCCAGGAAAGGACTGTGGGTGGTCCTGCTGGACCTGGAGTGCATTTGCAACACTTTATGGGCTTCATAGCACCTGTAGGCCTCTGCTATCTCCCCTAAGGCTGTTACTCATCACTCAGCACTTATCCTAGCCCTTCAATTTCCCTGGGTCTCTGGTCCAGAGCTCACACTGCCTCTTCTTACATCCCAGGGGTATCTTGACCTTTGGTAGTGGGCAGTAAGATGTGTACATTAGTCTGAGGCTCTGTGCCTTATAAAACACTGTGCTTGCTTGTTCTATGAATTGACTGATCTGGAAGCTCTGTAAGGTAGGCTCATTGCAAATGCAATTGCTGTTCGCTTAGTGTCATATATAGCATAATTATTGCACCTAGAATATGCTTGTATTGTCTGCATAACTGTAGGGTGGATCTGGTCTTGCTCTCTTATAAGAAAAGAGACAGGCCTTGTTCTCTACATGTTCCTTTAGGCAGTTTGCCCAGGCAAATCAACCAGGCCATTAAGGTGAAAGTATGATAGCTGAATTTTGCTCTTTTTCCATAGGTTGTTTGAATGATTTCATTTTGCATCATTCATAACTGTTGTCATTCTGTGATGTCTAGTTCATAAATACCATTCGCCCTGAGCGATTTTCTGTTACATTTAAGACTAACCTACTTTAAGGGAAAGATAGTCTTTCCTAGTCTAGTCCGCGTATCCTAGACTGAGTTATGCAGTCTGGGAAGCTTGCAGCATTAATTTCTTGCTAGAAACAAAATTTGTTTACATGTCCAATATTCTGCATATAGTTGTGTATTTTACTCATTTATGACTATAAATATAGAGGCATATCAGCATGTATATTGTGTAAATATGTACACATTTAACATGTGGAATATAGTAGGACTGAGTTTGTGTTTTGCCTTGTGGGCACTCTCAGTAGTTATTTCCCCTCAATATTTTATTATTGAAAAAATTAAGCATAAAACTTGAATTATATAGTTAATACACGTATACCCACTGTCATGATTCTGCAATTAACATTTTGCTATATTTGCTGTATAATTGTTCATCTCTCCATCACCATACTCATCCATTTTCATCTTCTTGCTGTGGTGGTGGTTGTATTTTTAAGTAAGTTGCCTGGTCCCTAATCATGACTATGTGCTCAGCTTGCAGGAAACATATATTATATCCTGGGTCTTCCTGAGCCTTTCCTGAACCTCTCTCTTACAGAGACCTTGATACCTACTCATGACTGCCAGAGCCCTCCCAGTGGCCTCACCCAGAGCTCTATCCCCTATGCCTGGCATTGACAATTCTGATTCTTACTGTGCATTTCAAAGCAAGGATGTTCGAGATGTTGTATCTATCATTTTACTTCCTCCCATGAAGAGACTTAACTGGAATTCTGAGAAAATGCTTTCTGATCCCCATCCCTTAGCACAAGCCAAATAAAGGCTCTTTGTCTTTTAAGGCTCTGATAAATACCAACTCTTAAAGGCAGGTTGATTTAGCCTCTGGTTATTTTCCCCAGAGTTTTCTGGTCTGGGCAGCCTCCCTCACCTTCCAGCCAGCCAATCCAGGTTGACCCTGGAGGAGAAGGAGCTCTCTGCTGGTGTGACTCACTGATGCCTCACTACTGCCCTGGCCAGACTGCGAGGCTCAGAAGAAAGGTAGACATTGCTGGGTGGGGACTGCCCATTCATTTTTAAGTAAAGGCTTTCTCCCTTATGATAATATCACAATAATTGCCACGTAATGTGTGCATTCTGTCAGAAAATAATGGTGAGAAAGTTAAAACTTGGCCCTTCATGCAATTACAGAGAGAAACCGAGTCAAATACTATTTTATTTAACTCATTAATGAGGGAACCAGTGAGTTGGTAAAGCCAGCTCAAAGAAGCTTTTGAGGAACTTGGTATTTATTGGCATTTTGGAAAAAAAAAAAAAAAGAGTGATAGAACAGAACCATTTTTAGGTAAGTGTGGGGGAAATTGTGATGGACCATTCAAATCAGCCACAGGTACCGTAGCTTCAGGAATATTGCCAGCAGAAAGAGCCCAGCTGTCAGCTCCATTTAGGACTACCTTGGCTGAAGACAGCCACCTTGTCTGAAGTCAGGCTTTCTTCCAGGGCAGCCTGCACCCAATGTCTGATCCATGAGCAGATAAAAAGACCAATTCTCTTACCACTGCTTGAATCTCTTGAAGGTCACTTATCCTGTATTCAGAACCTCCCATAGGGTCAGCTAAGCCTTCTGTTGCAACTGCATCCCATCCCCAATTCTCACTCTACCCAGACCTGCTTCTTTTCCTCCCTCTTACGTAGGGGTTCTAGGTTAGCCCCTAGAGTACCCTTGCATAAACTTGAGGCTCACTAGTGTTAATTCCAGGGTCAGCTTCATGGGAAATTCAATCTCTACATATACAAAATTAGTGAATGTCTTACAGGGTAATGTTTCTTTGACTTTGGGGTTTATCTTTTCTACTGTACAGCAATCTGTAAGTTAACACGCAGCTTCACAGTGTTCGTGCCCTTAATATATAGTAAATAGGAAAATCAAACCCAGGTATATTCCTCTGCATCAGGGTTTGGGAAACTTACCACGTAAAGAGCTGTATAGTAAATATTTCAGGCTTTGCAGGCCATACTGTCTCTGTTGCTCTCTCACAACTCAACTCTGCTATAGCCGTGATGGCTACACAAATGGGCATGGCTGTGTTCCAGAGACACTCTACTTAACACAGACAGGTGGTGAATGGGATTTGGCCTTGGGCCATAGTATGTGGACCCCTGTCCTAGATAAATAAGTAATCCTGGGTTGGTCTGTTAAACAATGTTCCAGTATGACATTGAAAGGACAGGCTGCCCCCTCCCCCCAGCTTTGCCCTTTTGACACTTGTAGAATATGATGTGTAATCTCCCCAACAGCCTACAAAGTGCTGATATTACCACTTTGCAAATGAGGAAACAGGCTCAGGAAAGGTCTGTCTTTACTACTTAAGAAGATGATGGTTCTTGAATTGAACCTGGTAGATCTAACCCTGAGGCCCACTCTGTCCCCACTCGTATCGTCCTACCTTCCTCATTCATGGGATGCATTGGAGCAGTGTTTTTCATTACTATTTGGAGAAAAGCGCTAACAAACAGAGCTGGCTGCAGATTCATAGAAGAAAGAGGTACGTGAAGAGTCCCTGCCCAGGCCATGTACCCTGGAATTTTCCCAGAATGGGCAGATTTACCTGTGAACAAGGTAACTGGAATGGAGGTAGGACTTATCCTCTGGCTCCAGAGGAATTTCCCAGCCTGGATAGTATTTTCCTGACCTGCATTTGTGACATGAGTAGGAGGTAAGAACAGCTTATTGTCCATAAAGGCATCCTGGCATGGAGTGGAGCTCTTATCTCAGCTGTGCCACACACTGACTGTGCCAAGCAAGCTCCTTGGTCAGCCTGAGACTCGGTTATCACAGCTAAGAAATGTGGAGGATCTTCCGTCTTACTCAGCTCTCTTTATAAATGTCCTTTAACACGGGGCCTAGATTCCAGTTCTGATTCCATATCTCACCAGCTGCGTGACTACTCCCCAGTAAGTTTCTGAAATCTCTCTGTGCTGAAATTTCCTTGTACGTAAAATGGGGATAATAATAGTATTCCTTTAACATAGCTAATGTCACAATAAAATGAATTAATATCTGTTAAGCTGTTAGAACAATAATCTGGTGCATAGCAGGTGCTATGACAATGTTTTGTTACTGTTATTTTTAGCACTTAGTATGATACTTGGCTAGTAATAGGTGCTGAATAAGGATTCTTCAATGCATAAATGAGCCACATAACAAATAAGCCTTAGAATAATTTCTAGAACTCAAATAGAGCTTTCTGCATTATGGGAAGATGCCTTATCTCTGCTCTTCTGCAAGGTAGGCACTAACTAGCCACATGTAGCTGATGAATACTTGACATGTGGGTAGTATGATTAAAGAGCTGCATTTTACATTTTATTTCATTTTAATTAATTTAAACTTAGCCACATGTGGCCAGTGGCTGTCCTGTTGGACAGCCCTGTTCCAGTGGGCTCAGAGGTTGAGATTCACTTGGTCTGTGTCATAGTTGGTTTGGACTGCTATAACACGATACCATAAACTGGGTGGCTTAGAAACAACAAACATTTATTTCTCATAGTTATGAAGGCTGGAAAGTCCAAGATCAAAGTACTGGCTGATCTGGTATCTGGTAAGGGCCTGCTTTCTGGTTGATAGATGGCACCTTCTCATTGTGTCCTCACCAGGCCAAAGGGTGTGGCAACTCTTTGGGGCCTCTGTTATAAGGGCACTAATCCCATTCATGAGGGCCTCACCCTCATGACTTAATCACCTCCCAAAGGCTTCACCTCCTAATACTATCACATTGGTGGTTAGGTTTCAATATATGAACATTTTTAAAAGGACACAAACATTCAGACCGTACAGTCTTTTATCAGCATTTCTCAAACATCCGTGGGTGGTTAACATGCAGCCAGAATTGAGAACAGAGTTAGAACTTTTAGGCCGGTACTTTTTCTTCTATTTATCCATCTATCCATCTATTCGACAAATGTTTGTTAAGTTCCTGTTATACATCAGTTACTCTTCTAGGAACTAGCAATCAGCAAAGATAAAGTCTTGGCTTTCAAAGAACTTGTACGCAGGTAGGGAACAGATGATTGAAAAGCACACAGTGAACAGGACACTTCTGGACAAGGTACTTGAATGCCAGGAGGACCAAAAGTGTGTTGCCATAGCGACTGGATTGGAAGCGAAGGTGGTGCTGATCAAAGGAAGCCTTTCTCAGGAGGGGACGTTTGAGCTAAGACCTGCCTGGGGAGAAATCAGCCTTGTCATGATCTGGGATAAGAGTGTTCCAGGCAGATGCAGTAGCACATTGTCTCAAGTTGAGGATGGGTTTGATCTGTTTGCAGAACAGCAAGGCAACTGGTGTGGTTTGAATGGTAAACATATGGGATGGTGGTAGGAAATGAGGTTGGAGAGGAGGGCAGGGGTGGGGGGTTTTATAGCATCTTGCAGGCCAGGAGGGTCCGGAGTTAGGATTTTATTCCAGGCCCATGGGGAGCCATTGGAAAATACTGAGTAACTTGCCATGATGTGACTTTGGTACTCAAAATATCTAATTGCCATGTAGTGTGCATGGACAATGGGGAGAGGCATGGCAGGTGTGGTGGTATCTCAGGTGAGGGGTTGATGGTCGCCAGGTCATAGGTGGTAGCAGTGGAGACAGAGGAGTGGACAGATTGGAATCTGCCAAGGTAGGGCCAAGTGATGGGTGGATTAGATGTCTGAAGGCAGCAGAGGCAATGGAGGAGGGTCCCCAGCACTGTGTTGCCATGGAGTGGACAGTGGGGCTGAAGACCCGTGTAGCCCGAGGCAGCATTTTTGACTTGAATGTTCATATGTACCACTGGGGATCTTGGTAAAATGTAGAATTTGACTCTGTGGGTCTGGGGCAGGGTCTGAGATTTTTGAATTTCTAAAAGGCTCTCTGGTGATGTCAGCTACTCCTGCTGGAGCCCCACTTGACTGAGCAAGGGCTTACTCACCCTCACCCTGCACATGCTTCTGCCACACAGAGGCACAGAACAGTGAAACCCCCGGAGGGACAGGGAGTGCGTAGAAGCAGGTTGTAGCTCGCCTGCAAGAACTCTCAAGAATCAAGGTTGAGTCTGTTGTTCCTAATCCATACCTGCATCCTGGACTTGTGGCTGTGAGTCTCCAGAGACTCAAGGCATTTGCTTTGTGAGGACACAGAAGTCCCTGCTTTTTTGTTTGTCCTTTAGGAACAGAGTTCCTGGGCAATTATTTCACAGCCTGTAGCAGTGTAGGTACATCTCTTCAAGTCCAATCTTTAGAACTGCTTTGAGGGGATGTATTTTACATGAAAAAGAAGCCTTTAAAGCAAAATGAGCTGTGGGCGTGAAGGCAGTGTGACTCCCTGTGTGTAAGAACCCTGTGCTAGTAACACAGTGCACTTTCTTGGTGTCTGGGAGAAATGAGACTTTATCACTAGAGATATTAATAATATGATGATCAGTTTCAGCAGAAAGGAAGTTTAACTCCAAAGTGGTTCCTCTAGCTGTGGGTTCATTTCTTCATGAAACAATGAACCAGGAAAGGAAGTGTCAAGTAGTTTAATGTGATGCATATTTGTTGCTATACCAGGCCATAGGATTTAGGGCTGTTTTAAAATGAGTGTATTTCTTGTATACAAGGGGCTAGCTCAACCATAGTGGTCATCCAGGGCTTGCATACAATGTTTTATTGACGCAGGACTTCATATGGAAGCTTTTTGTAAATGAAACTAACATTTGATTACTGGGAGAAAATTACTGTGACTAGCCATCTGGTTTCCCAGCCAATACTGTTGATTCATAGTGCTTCTAGTAGTTCTTAATAATCTGTCTCATTTCATATGATATGAGATATTGAAGCTATTTTCTTGACTTCCTCCAGCCTAAACACTTAGGGTTATTGCACCAAGCGTGCACTCTAGCTTTCTTCTATCTAATCTTTTGAGTTGCCAAGTGCCATGGCATTTATCGTTACAGGTTATTAAATTATGTGGTGT